>NC_000010.11:7282727-7434242 GCF_000001405.40 Homo sapiens
GACAGAAAAGATAAATATAACTCCTCTCCTTCATGTACTCAACACTAACATCGGCAACTAATATGGGAGGAAATTCTCTGGTGATTTTAATAAAGCAAAGAGCCATGTCCTTATTCCAAATACAGCTACAAAACTCACCGGAATGAAGATTCACCAATTTCTGAAAAAATACGTACTTCCTCCTTGGCATCTCTAATTCTACAAGAATCCAGTATTTCTGTTCTGAGGTTTCCCATTCAAAGGCCGGTAAGAGGAGGCCGGTAAGAGGGGTGGGAGGGGCCCAGCACCTGGGAATCTGAATTGCACTGCCTGTCCCTTAAAACAGGGGACCTTGGACAACTAGCTGAACTCCAGTCTCAATTTTCTCTACTGTGAAATGAAATTCACAACAAACATGCAGCATTTTTTTAGAATCAAAACAAACAATGTACCAGATGTAAAATCACCTGGCACATAGTAAACATTCAAGAATGGTTATTTTGTAAATACGCTGATTTTTAACTAGGTAGGTATGACAGAGAGCATAAGGCAGGATTCTTTCCAATTAAGCCTCTGCAAAGCCATTTGACAGTGCATTTGAAGCTAACTAAAATCTTACATGCCAGGAGAAAACATGATGGTCTATCTACTCAATGCTGCTTCTTGGTCAGACTGGATTGTGGTTTGGATATTTAGATGGATGGATGAATGGATGGTCAGATAAATAGATGAATGCTGGATGGATAGGTGGATGAATGGATGGATGAATAGATAAATGGATAGATGGGTGGATGAGTAGGTGGATGGATTGGTGAATGGACAGACTGAGAGATGGGTACACAGATGGCCAGAGATTTCGGAACCTACTTACAAGACTATCAAAATTCCTAAAGAAAAACGTGGAGAATATCCTCAAGTCTCAATCTACTGTGTCTTTCCTTTCTGAACCAGTGATTCCCAAGGAACTAGATCAATTTCCCTAAGGCCTCTAACATTGCTTTCTCCTTTGAGAACACTATTGATTGAGGTCTTAGGTTTTAGTCTCTATGGAAAGCATTGTGAAGTTAAAGTGCTTAATATTCACATACTCAGATATAAAAGATACCAGAAAGCTCATACATTTTCTAGAAACACATCCAGGAAAATATCACATCTTTTTCTAAAATACTTTACAGCAGCAAAAGCTTTGGCCCTTACCTGAAGGTGGGTCCATTCTGTATTTATTCTCTTGACACCAACCAACTGGTCGAAGTCTGTAATCCAAGTAAAACAACCACTGGTCATAGGATTCAGTGTCCTCCAATCCCACATAGCGAAGGCGTAATCTTCCTCCAACATTTTCAATCACACTAACTATCCAGTACTGAAAAGGGTTCTGGGAATCCTGAAGTTCTATTAAGGAACCAACTGTAATGAGGTCTATAGGGCCTTTCCCTCGCAGAGGCTGTTTAAACAGAAGCAAAACTCCTTATTTTAAACTTTATTTTAAGGTTCTCATGGAAACAGATGACAGCAGAAGATAATATTTTTTCACACCATCATCCAAGGTACTGGCGAACAGTCTGGCGTTCCCTCCACCCCATCCTTGCCCAGCCCATGCCCCACCCCTTCCCTTTCCTCCCTCCCACACATCCATGTACCCCATTCCGTATCCAACAACAAAAAAATCACAAGTCAATAGAAAATAACAGTTTGTGCTAAGTTCTCACCAAACAAATCACCCTTCCCAGATAAAATTGCTTTTGTTAACAATCAGTATGCTTTTAAGAAGAGTTCTACCCAAATTTGCCTGGACCTAGAAAACGTGGTAGCAAACGGTCTACTTTTCCAACAGACAGATAATTCTAATACAGAGCATTCAATTTACACCATGACGGTTTCCCAGACATTCATCTTACTCTACTGGCCGCTACTCTAATGACCAAAATGCTCTCATACTTTGATTATGTGACGAAGGCATGAGTGTGTGTCAATGACATGTCTAACACACAGTAATGATCAGCTAAATTAGACTACTATGTAAAATTATTTCTACACTTAAGCTGGTAATTGGTTTACAGAATGTATAATTACTGCCCCTTCTAAGAAACCTTCTTAGCCTATGATAGCATATGAAAAGGGTGTTTGTTCAGCCAGCTTTGTAGGCAAATATGTTTTAGAAAATTAACATAGTGAGACAATTTGTCCTTTTGAAAGGATGAACTATCATCATTTTGATTTGTTAATGAACAATTAAAATAGTATCTCTAATGATATATAACAAATACATCAGGCAAAATCTTCACAAAACAAAACCCGTTAACTATATTAGACTATGACGTTCTAAAATGTCAATATCATTTATGAAAAGAGGGAAAGTTTAAGGTTAAGAGAATATGATACTGTCAAAATCCACACCTTATTACTTGTTATTCATTAAGTTTTCCCCTTTTTAGGGGCATTCTTAAGAAAAACAGACTAGGTAATTCAATAATTACTTATGACACAGTGCCTTTCTCTTCCTGTTCCATTATACAAATACAAATACTACATATACATACTAAGATGTTTCAACATAAAATTATTTTCAAATAAACCATCAAGATTTCAGATTAAACTATGTTTTCTTCAATACATTAAAATTTCCTTGGCTACACTGAAATACGATCTGCCATTTCTCCTCTTGTTTTTACAAGAGAAGTTAATTCAATTATTGGTTAACGTGTGTATGTTCAAATCTTGGGGTTATGCGTCAAAATAGAACATTTAATGGAACGACTTATCAATGTACTCCAAGAGACTATATTAGCACATACATGATCTTGTCACCTGTTCAAAACAGTGATTCTACAGGATTTGATTTATATTCACTCACATAGGAAAGAGGCTTAAAGATATAGGACAGTAGGAAGACATCCTAGCATATTGTGATTTAAAAATTGGATTCACATAGAGCAAATTTTCCATTTGCTGATTGCATCACAGGGGAAGTTTCATCAATGCCATTCAAATCAGTCACCTAAGTAATTCAGGACAAAAGAGGAAGGGAGGCTATTTGGATGGCAGTGTCTGCAGAAAGCACGCATCTGCTGAAGGATATATGCAAAGGTGCTGTCAGGTCTGAGCTCACGTAACTGGGGTGCTTCAGAGATACATTAGATGTATAACAACAATACATACACCTTCCAGGAGGTTGGCGGGTGCTGTCCTCGAACCAGTCAAGTCACGTATGAGAAATTCTGTCCAGTCTGTGTACTTCTCTTTGATTGCTGGCAAGACAAAGGAGAAAGAAAAACAAAACAAAACAAAAAAAACACTTCAACACAGCAGCAAAGTATCCAATCAACTTAAAATCACAGCAGTTTTCTCCATGTAGGTTTGATTTCAATGTTTTTCTTAACTTTCATCACCATGCTTAAGTAAATACTAAAACTGAGACTGAAAATGTGTCTCTAAGTAGCAACTTGACACATACCACATGCTTGGGCACCAAGGAGATGAAAGAATCCGAAGTCTTACAGCCTATTTAGAAACTTTTCACAAACCACAAAGAAATTATAAAGTGTACAATTCAGGAGGTTCCAAGGAGAGAGAAACCAGTGAGGCTAGGGAAATCAGAGAAAGGCTTTCCAGGTGGGAAAATCAAACCAGGCCCCGAATTACATGAACAGTTTATACAGTTTCAGAAGAAGAAGGAATTTGCAGAGAAATGGGCACAAAATAACAAGAGGGGTGGACTGAAGGTGAAATGGAGAAATAGAGAAATGGGGAGAATAAGTAGTCCCCTCCATATCCATGGGTTCCCCATCCCTGGGTTCAATTCAACTGAGCATCAAAAATATATGAAATAAAATGCATCTTTACTGAACATGTACACTTTTTTTTCTTATTATTCCCTAAAAACTCCAATGTAACAACTATTTACATAGTATCTACATTGTAGTAGGTACTATAAGTAATCCAGAGATGATTTAAGGTCTGCAGAAAGATGTACATAGGTTATGTGTGAACTATACTATTTTCTGTTCGAGACTTGATCATCTGCAAATTTTGGTATCCTTGGGGGTCCTGGAGCCAATCCCCCAACAGATCTCAAGGGACGACTGCACTGCAAATGGTCACACTAGGGCACACTCCAAGCGCACAGCACTGGGAAATAATACTGAGTGGTAGGAATAAACTATGGACACCCAGGAAGTCAACATAGACGCTTAACAAATGGGACATCTCTGTATAAAATGAATCTGGCAACAGTATAAGGGTTTGAATGGAAAGAAAAGAGTCTAAAAGCAGGGAAACTGAGGCTGTTTCAGTTATCCAAGTAGAAAAGTGATAGGACTCAAAATAGGGGTGACAGCCCTCTGAACAAGGAAGGAATGTATTTGAGGCATCTTTTTTTTTTTTTTTTTTTTTTGAGACAGAGTCTCGCTCTTTCACCCAGGCTGGAGGCAGTGGCGGATCTCAGCTCACTGCAAGCTCCGCCTCCCAGGTTCACGCCATTCTCCTGCCTCAGCCTCCCGAGTAGCTGGGACTACAGGCACCCGCCACCATGCCCGGCTAATTTTTTGTATTTTTAGTAGAGACGGGGTTTCACCGTGTTAGCCAAGATGGTCTCGATCTCCTGACCTCGTGATCCACCCGCCTCGGCCTCCCAAAGTGCTGGGATTACAGGCGTGAGCCACCGCACCCGGCCAAGGCATCTTTTGAAAAAGAAGTATCAGACTGTGGAGGGCAACATTCTACAAGTGCTTAGAACCCAAGACCTGAGGAAAGCATATCTCTTTGGCATGTCTCCCAAGCTACAGATCTTCAAAGGCCCCACTGGGCTACACCTGCATCCCTGAGGGACCTGAGCCTTCCCAGGGCACCAAGAGATGGATGTGCAAAGTCAGCATAAATGACAGCAAGACCCTAGCCCCAGATGAACCACCCATCACAGCCAGCCCTCCACGTGGGCAGCCCGGGCTCCACCCAGGACTTCACTCAGCCCCCATTTAAGGTCCAAGACCCAAGTAGTTTGTGCATTGTTTAGGTTCTTCAAAGGCTTGATGCAACCCTTCCGGCTCAAACCTAAAGCAGTGGAATTACTACAAAAGGGAAGTTGGCCATAAGGGTGTGGGGCAGATCTGGGCCCCAACGGGGGATCCACCATCACTGGATGCATGACTTTGAATAATTTACTCAATTTCTCTTAGACTCTTTTCTAGCCAATCAAAGGGTGCCAGGTTGCTAATGATATTTTGCTTATAAGGGGTGTTCTAAGGACTAAAGGACAGACATATGCAAATAAAATATAACCAACCCAGGTACACACCAACCAATTAATATTAGCTCTTGTTTTATTATAAACATACTAAATTATTACATATATCTTTTTAATCTGCTGGTTATTGATTATTCATACCCATGACTTCTAGATTGAAACTTCCAATGAGCTTTCACAGAACAGCCAGTAGAATGGAGACCAAGATACAAGCCAAGCAGTGGCCGGACCTGCTGCTTCATCACTAACGTGCCTCTCAGTCAACATCCGCCCACGCACAAGGATGATCATCACACCAAGAGCAAAACCAACATGCACGGAACTCAGGCAAACAAGGCCGAGTCCAGCTTTACCTTATATGGCAACGTCCCAGCCTCACCCCGCTTATAATAAAGAATAACTCATCTGTTTGTCCACTTTTATCACTAGATTTTTTCTCAAACAAAATGTCACCTTCCTTATTTTATACATACTCACATGGAAATACAAACACAAAAATATTGTACGCTCAGCACGTTGGGAGGCTGAGCATAAAACTGTGTTCTTGTGTTCTCTTCCTTCGTTATAGATGTAGTCATCATTCTTCAAAGGCTACACCCTTTTTAAAAGTGGCCCTCTTGCATGTCTAGGGTCACTGAGACGAAAACAAGATATACAAGCCAAATGAACTAAAATCTGGACTCATTTTATGCTTTACAAAGACCTTTCATTCACCCTGTTTTGTTCCTCCTAACTATGCTAACAGGTGCTTCTTCGTCATTAACTCTTGACCAAGTTCACGGAAAAAAATTAGAAACAGCGGCCAGGTGCGGTGGCTCACACCTGCAATCCCAGCACTTTGGGAGGCCAAGGCGGGTGGATCACAAGGTCAGGAGTTCAAGATCAGCCTGGCCAATATGGTGAAACCCCCCCCCCCATCTCCACTAGAAATAGAAAAATGAGCCAGGTGTGGTGGCAGCTATCTGTGATCCCAGCTACTCGGGAGGCTGAGCCGAAATCGTGCCACTGCACTCTAGCCTGGGCGACAGAGCGAGACACTGTCTCAGAAAAAAAAAAAAAAACTAGAAACAGCCTCAAGCCCCCAGGTGTTCAGAGCCCAATCTCACATGGAGTCTTTCCAGTAGATTCTCTGATTCTCCAAAGCTTTTGCAAACAGATAAATCAGTAATTTAAAATGCAGGCATGATGGAGATAATATGAAAATGACTCACATAAGTTTCAAGATTAGGACAAAATATACAACTGTACCCCATAAATATGCATTTCCTATCCCATTACAAAAGAAGAACAATTATTATAATCCAGCGATAAATGGTCCTGTGCCTAACACAGACGTCTATATCCACTACGGGAAGAAAGCTCTATTTTCCACAGGGTTGTTTCTAACATGCGTATAATCCAAGTTAACAGTTAAGTGAAAATTTTTAAAATATGCAAGCACCCTATGAAGTCACTGCACAATGCTGAAATTTAAACGGTCAAAGTCATAGCAAGGGAGCTCTAGGGACGGCTCTGACATTTACATCTTGCGAGCCTCAAGTTCCCAGAGGTCCTATAGCTTTCCTTTATATGTGTCTGCACAAGACTCAAGCAATCTTTTATGAGCCACAGACTACCTAAATGAATTGCTCTCCATGGTAGACGTATCTATAAAGCCATAAACGTATACAGACCACTTTAGGTTAAAAAGTAGAAAAGAAACGTTCTCAAGAATCTTGCTAATTTTATAAGAAAAACTATATCAGTTAACATTTAGCTCTCAAAGCTCTAATATTCAAATGTACCATAAACCTATTACAATAAATATTGCTATAAAATAAAAACTAAGTATAACCAATTTACAATTCCTAGACCATGGAGTTACCTTAACCACTGATTAATTCAGTTAAATTCTGGTAAATAAAAGTTGCCTTGCAAGTCCTTAGAATTCACTGCAATGGAAGCTAATTGGCATTGCTCAGTGTGACCATTTAAACTTCTAACTAGAAATTTTAAAACTATAAACTTTATTCTGCAGCACGTCTCTCTTCCAAGACTCCAACTCAGCACTCTCAGCTGTAAGCCAAATCCTTGTCTATGATCATTATCTTATTCTTCAAATTGAAGGACCAATCCACACATGAAACATCAGGAAACTCAAAACCTGCCCTGCGCCCAACTACGGCATCAAAGATGAACGCTACGACAGGAAAGAAATGATCAGGGAGAAAAACACTCTGCAATTTCAGGTGGAGGAAGGTTTACACACAACTTGGTAATCATCGCTCATGCTTTCAACTCATTAAGGCAAACTCCTAGAAAGTCATAAGAAACAAAAAAAAAAAAAAGAAAGAAACTTCTACCACATTCTCATGAACATTTTTTCAAGGTTTTACTTAGTTATAATATTATATAAGCATTCCACTACACCTTTTAAAAATCCAAGTTCCATTCCACTAATACCTCACTTTGGAGAAGTGCCCACATCACAGTGAAGGAAGGAATCATGAACTTGGGTTTCAGAACTCAAGTTCTGAGTTTGAGTTACACACACATATGCTTCTTGAGGACATTTAAAGATGGACCCAAATCCCACAAATGCTTTATTAGGATTATAAAGCTGCCGAGCTGGACATGGTGGCTCACACCTGTAATCCCAACACTTTGGGAGGCTGAGGCAGGAGGATCTCTTGAGGCCAGAAGTTCAAGACCATCCTGGGTAACACAGCAAGACCCCATCTCTACAATTTTTTTTTTAACTTAGCTGGGCATGGTAGTGGGTGGCTGTAGTCCCAGCTGCTTGGGAGGCTGAGGCAGGAGAATGGTGTGAGCCCAGGAGTTCGAAGCTGCAGTGGGCTATGATCACACCACTACACTCCAGCCTGGGTAACAGAGTAAGACCATGTCTGTAAAAAAAGAAAAAGAAAGCAAGCTATCTACAAATTGAGTCCCATATAAAGGCAGAAGATTAGCATCACTTTTTCAGAATTTGGGAAAATACCACTAATGTTGGATTTCAAGCCCCATCAAGTGCACATCCACATAGAGTCCAAAGCCGGGTCACCTCTCAGGGACGTGACCTGTGTAGACCGGGCTGTGAGTATAAAGCCCTTGGTCAGGGCTGCCCATGCAGGCAGATGATGAACAAGGAGACCCATGCTGGGGTCAGGAGGACAAGCACTGTCAGCCTAGGCTCCTCAATGCCTTCCCACATCACAGGAGAACAGACAGGTCTGCTGAGACCAGCTGCCCCAGGCCTACCCATTCTCTGAGAGATGGGGAGAGTAATTACAATGAAGAGAAAGGCCATTTTCACTCACACTCTAGCCCACAGGAAGGGAGTTTGAGTCCCATCCCTATGTGCTAGCATTTAAACACACAGGGTATTTCATTTTTTGTTGTCTTTCTGGGCAATTTTCTGAACTTACTTCCAATCAATGCTTCTTTGAATTCATTCCATGGGTCACAGTTTTCGTTTGCAATGTTTCTTTCTTGCTTTTGGTAGTTCCTTCCTTCTAAAACGTTTTCTTTAACAAGATGACCTTTTCAAAACCTCTCATTACGGAATAGGGTTCTCCTCCCCTATTCCCCGGGTCCTCTCTGATTCCTGGGGGCTGTTTTGTTGTTTCTTCATCTCATCCTGCCCTCTTTGATCAGAAGCTTTCCTGGAATATCTGGCCAACAATGCTCATGCATCATACTTAAATATGAAACAACAGAAACCTTGGAGAGGCTGGTGTCCTGGGCAGACGGGTCTGACTCAGAGAGTGGGCATGGGAGTAATTCCCCTTCTAAGAAGCCGCCTTCCAAACTAGCAACAGGGGTTCTCCCCAGACAATTCAGTCCATTTCTTCAGAGATGAGGCAGAGGGATAAATATATGGTTTCTAGTCCTTGGTTGTACCCACGGCAGGGGTGGAAGAAGGAGAGAATCCGTGAAGTGATCTGACTATAGGCATCCCATGGAACCCTGTGATTTTCAGCCCCACGTGGGACTCCTACCCACCCAGCATTCAGTCTCCAAGGTGAGCCTCCCCAGCTGCAGCCCCCACACTAATTTAGTAGTCACATAGCCTTATCAGCTTGCAGGCTGCCAGAAACATTGTAAAATCCCTTTTCCATGCTGGTGGCCTTTAAGTTCTTTGTGTTGTTGATATATGTACTTTTTATTTTTCCCTACCATTTTAATGGGGTCTCTGGAGGAAAAAGAGGTAAATAAGAGTGCTTAATCCACTGAAACTCCTCCCAGCTCACAAGAGAACCGAGCCTTCTCAACCAGATGTCAGGTAGCAGCCTTTGACTTCTCAGGGGAAGCCTTTTTTAACACTGACTTTGCTAAAGAAAAAAGGAGGCAACAGTACACCTTGAATGATAAATGGAAGCACCTGCTCTTACTATTAAGAAAAAAAGATGACAGAGTTCTTTCCCTTGGAGATTTGTAAAGGAGAACCTACATTAATTTTTCATATAAGGTTCAAATTAGATTGTTCCTACAAACAAAAAGATAGATCATAAAATGATTCAACAGGATTGACAAGTTCCTAGTGCTACCTACTACTGAGGTTCAAACACATAGATAAAAGTATTGCTGTCTTTAATAATGAATGTAACCCAGATGAAGATATAACTTGTAAAGAATGTCAGAAAAATTACACTTACACACACACACATCCCTTAGTACCTGTCATATAAAGATTGTTGGAGGACAAGTTTCATTTCAACCTTTCAAAGACTCTTTCAGTTGTAAAAATACACTTCTATGATTAAGAAAAGAAATAGTATCATTTTGTTGTAAAGAATAAGATTTAGGTGGGGTGCGATGGCTCATGCCTGTAATCCCAGCACTTTAGGAGGCTGAGGCGGGCGGATCACCTAAGGCCAGGAGTTCAAGACCCGTCTCTACTAAAAATAGAAAAATTAGCCGGGCATGGTGGCAGGTGCCTGTAGTACCAGCTACTAGGAAGGCTGAGGCAGGAGAATTGCTTGAACCTGGAAGGATGCAGTGAGCCGAGATCGTGCCACTGTACTCCAGGCTGGGTGACAGAGCAAGGCTCCGTCTCAAAAAAAAAGAATAGGATTTAACAAAGACATTATCTAAGAATTGTTGGAAGCAAATGACACAGCCCTATCACAGTGATGACATTAGGGTGAAAGGAGTCTCACTCTGTCTGGAATGCAGTGGCGCGATCTCGACTCACTGCAACCTCCACCTCCTGGGTTCAAGCGATTCTCCTACCTCAGCCTCCCAAGCAGCTGGGATTACAGGCACCCACCACCATCTCCAGCCTCAGCTTCCCGAGTAGCTGGGACTACAGGCACGCCCTACCACATCCAGCTAATTTTTGTATTTTTAGAAGACACCGGGTTTCACCATGTTGGCCAGGCTGGTCTTGAACTCCTGACTTCAGGTGATCTGCCTGCCTCGGCCTCCCAAAGTGCTGGGATTACAAGTGTGAGCCACTGTGCCTGGTCAAAGTATTTTTTTTTAATGTGAAGGTAAAGCTAATGGGATTCGCTGATGGGCTACAAGAGAAGTAGAACACAGAAATGTCCCTGAGGCTTTCTGGCCCAAGCACTTGAAGAATGGAGTTGCCCTTTACTGAGATGAGGCAGATTCAAGGGATGCAAATACCAAGGGCAAGCTCCACTGGCCCTCATAGTCGTTAAGATCATTAAGATGACTATGAGATACTGCATCACAGCTAGACTGCATAATAAAGAGACCCAAAAACACAGCCACAGAGGTGCAAGCACAGTCAAAGTTCCTCTCTCTTTCTCTTTCTCTCTCTCTCTTTCTCTCCCTCTCTCTCTCTCTCATCCAAGGCAGGTGATATAGGGTGACACAGAGCTCTGCTTCCCAAGATATGTTAGGAACCCAGGGTCTTTCAATCCTGTCACTCTGCTCTAAGTGAGGGCAGGGAAACAGATGGTTCAGCACATCCCAGCCCATGGAAAGAGGGAAAGAACGTAAGCAAAGATGAACAATTTCCATCTCATCAGTTACGCTGATGTGTATCAGTGATGTATATCACAGACATCACTTCCTCGCTGGACATGGCCACATCTCATAGTACAATAGGAGGTACGTCCCAAAGGGACCCCAGGAGTCCTCTGGAGCAGTGAGCTAGGACAGAGCCCAGCTGGAGGTACTGAACCCACATTCATTCAGGTTCCCCATGAAATATGTACTTCCCCACTGCTAGGGTGGGGGAAGGTACTGTAATTACTGCTTATCCCCTAATATCATGGCTGTTTTCTATGCTTACAAGAAAGGAAACCCACAAAATGGAAGGATCCTTCCAATAAAAAGCACGCCAACTCACCCAGTGCATCTGTATGGGATAAAAGGATGAGACGTAAACCCTTGGTCCATGTACATCTCACCTTCCTCCAGTGAAACCTCATCCTAAACCTGTAATATATGATGTTGTAGAATTTATCTCTGACCCTAGCATGTAACAGTAGGACTGGGCAGAACCCACCTTGCATTGTACAAGTATCTAGACTCTATCTGGACAGCCATGTGCCCAGCTACATCTATTTCCAAGTAATACAAATATTTCAAGAAGGAAGGAATAATCAATCTTGTCAAATGCTGCTGATAGGACAAGTGAGGTGAAATCTGACATGAGACTCCTAATTTTTCTAACACTGTTACTATAAAATTAATTCTGATGGTTAATTTTTGTAACACTGTTACTCTAAAATTAATTCTGATGGTTAATTTTTGTAATATTGTTACTCTAAAATTAATTCCTAGGTGCAGAACAGCAAAGGACTTCCTAGTTATTGGCAAACTGCTCTCCAAAGTCATTCTTACAACCTCATCATCCCCAGTGCTCTCCGTCCTTGGGAGCATTTTATATAATCAGACTTCTTAAATTTTCACTAATCTGAAGCATATGAAACTGTCTTTTTCCTTTGCTTTTTTGTTTTACTCATCATCAGTGCTGTTTAGTATCATTACACTATGACAATTCAGGTTTCCCTTCTGGGAACTCCCTATTCACATCCCCTGTATACATTTCTCTATAGACTCTTTTTTATATATACTTGTTAACAGTTTATTTATCAAGAGAAACTATTTGTTAGCCCACATATCTATGCTTCATGGTTCAGAAACACAGGTCAGTGACAAACTTCTAGGTAATTCAACCCAAATAAATTCCTTATATTCCAAAATTACATTGCATCCTGAAAGATGCTAGCCTTCCTCATCTCCTCAAAATCTTCCATAGAATTATAATTCTTGTAGAAGTCTGCATCTGCCTTTTTCCTTGGTTCAGCCACAGCAAACTGAGACAAAGCTGCAACCCCCAGAAATACGACGAACGCTCCAACATGTTTGTGTTCCTGTGTCTACGGTATTCGTCTGGCTGTCCACTCCAGGAGACTGGGACCACCCATGCCCACTGTGTCCAAAACCACACACCCAACACCTCCAACAACTGGCCAACAAATAATAGGTTACACCTCCAACAACTTGTAGGCCACAGACGAACTTGTGTCACAGGAAGGAAAGACTGGCAGACTTAGACGGCTTTAGGAATTGTGTCTGTTTCACTAATCTTTTGATGACATACAACTTGCTGAATTCAGATTAAGAGCGACTGTTACCATAATATTCATTGCACAGACCTTTCACTAAAATACAACTAACAGCACACCACAAGCATTCACAAATGTACTGCCATTTCTTTTTATTTTTTATTTTTTTGTATTTGCATAGTTTGTAACTGCTTACATAAGTGAATTATCACTTTCAGTGTTCGTTTCAGCATGTGTAACCTAGAAAGCCAGGTATCAGTCCATTTAAGTGTTTTGGCACTTAGTATCTTGTGTGGTAAAGACACTCAGTTAATATTTTTCTGGAGTTCTCTGCTGTATGATTAGCCCCTTAGGTAACACCAATACTGTTCATTTCAGACAAGGGAAACACTCAGAGATGAAAGAAAATTCAGGTACTACACAACAGGACTTTAATCCCAAAAGACCTAACGCTTTCTCTGAAGTTCCCAAGAAGATCTTAGCACTAGAAACAACCAGGATTTGCTAAAGAAATGCCACAGAGATGGAAACCATTTACGACTTTCTCAAAGCACACAACTCACACCACTCTGCAAGGTATCTTTAAAAGTCTACAAGATAAATAACCTCTAAAACTATCAGATGAAATTTAACACCTTGTCACTGTTCACTGGCTAAAGAATTTTACCCAATAAAATATGGAATCTCTCATTCTTGCCCATTTTCTCCAGTCCTTCTCTAGCTGCCAATAGCTCACTTTCACAGATGTTACTGCTCCTGCTTTAAACATTTTCCTGCTTTTAAAGAATTACCTTCCAAAGAGTCAGCCACTTTTCTTCCATTCTCCACTAAAAAGAAAAAAAACTAATTCTTACAGTTCTTTTTATTAGCTCCCTCTGCAGAAAAACTGTCAAGACTGAATTGACATATCACACAGGTCCAGGGCTCTAAGTTCAATGGAATAAGACACTTGCTTGTTAAAGATTTTATTCTCCTAGGTCTCACTCTATTTTTCATACTTGACTTGCTTCTTCCTGTAAAGTTACTTTCTTTCCTGAAGCAAAAGAACTTCCATTCAAATTTTTCCCAATATTCCCGTTAGGTCTATGAGAAAGAGACAAACTTGCAGAAAGTTTACATTAACATGCCCTTAGGTATCTGACAAAATGAGTTGGCCTCTTGTTCAACAGTATTTAGGTTGCTGTCTGTGATGGTTAATTTTATGTCACCTTGCCTGGGCCACAGTGCCCAGATATGTGGTTGAATGCGACTCCGGATTTTTCTGGGAGGGTGATTTTGGGTGAGATTAACATTTTAATTGCTGGGCTTTGAGTAAAGCAGGCCGTCCTCCCTGACGTGGGTGGGCCTCACCCAATCAGTTGAAGGCCTGGCTACAACAAAAGACTGACCTCCCCTGAGCAAGAGGGAATCCTCCAGCAGGCGGCCTGCAGGTTCCATCACAGCAGCGGCTCTTCCTGGGTCTAAAGCAGACGGCCTTGGACTGGAACTGCAACTCTTCCCTGAGTCCCCTGCCTGCTGGCCTGCCCAGTCAGAGCTCAGACTCACCACACCTCCACAGTCATGAGAGTATCTATATATACACACATTCTATTGGTTCTACTTCTTTGGAGAATCCTAACACATTGCCCTACCGTTACTTTTCTAAAGGTTCAGCAGGCAAAAAGAATAAAAACACTCCTAGAAAAGGGAAAACAGCAATGAATCAGTCATCAGACAGCTCTTGCAGGCCATGCCTTTGAGAGTGCACAGAAGGAAGACTGAGCTGGCCTTGCACTCACTGAGAAAGCTGCAAAACACAGGAAATGGCAGGCTCCAGATGGCACTACCTGGGTTGGAGTCCCAGCTACAACCACATTGGCTGTGTGACATCAGAAAGGCTGCCTAACCTCTCCAGGTGTGTTTCCTCACTTGTAAAACAAGCCTACTAGCTGGACCACCTGGTAGGGCCTCCTGAACACTAAGTGAAATAACCATGCACAAGAAGGTTCTCAGCACAGGGCTGGGCAGGGGCTCAGAGCTAAATAAAGGAAAAGAGGGAGAGAGAAAAGGAGGGAAAGGGCGAATGGGAGGGGGAGGAGAAGCAGGAGGAGGATGAGGAGGCCATCACGGGTGGGGGTAAAATGACCCCAACCACTCTGATGAGCTACTGCAGAGAAACAAGGCAATTTAAAAAACTAGTTGGAGAGATTTTCCTTAATGCTACATTTTAAAATTTTGAAACAAAAGCTAAACAGTTATCAAAGTCATGTAATTGCTTCAAATAGGAAGAGAAAACTGAATTCAGTGTTAAATTATAAATTCGCTATAAATTTTCACTTCACGACGACACACACATTCAGCACACGCAAGAGTGTGACCTGGGTGAAAATGTGGCCTCGACACCTGTATACCTGAGGATAGTATCTGCAATCCGTGTCTGCCTCCCACGCCCTCCCTGTTATCAGCACCCCCACCACCTCCACAGTGGGAGCACCACGGGCTGATGCACATTCTCCACTCAGGGGGCTCTCACTTTTGCCCAAAGGCAGAATCCACCATCACTGGGGCTCGCAGGTGAGGCCTGGAGGTGGTCGTGCTGCTGTTGGCTGCTCGCCCAGCACCCAGAGGCCCTCGCAGCTTGTCCTTCACCAATGAGTGCTAGATTTTTGGATCAGAAAATAATTGGAATTCCAAGCAACTGGAGAGATCCTGTCTCTTGGGATTCCCCTAACAGCCAGCCTCTGCAGGGTATGTCCAGGGAGCAGAAGAATGGTCAACACACTCTGTACTTGCAGCTTCTCCTTCGAGTCTCGCTCCAAACCCTGACCATGACGTCCACTCACTGTACTGAGCACCCCCTAGACAGACTGAGACCTCCACCCTGTGCACGTGATCTAGTCCAACTGATGCTCAGACTCTCCATCCTGGGTCACCACATGTGAACTGCTGGAATGTCACTTACCCAAAAGCCCAACAGCCAGGCCAGTTCCCTAGCTCCGGACAGGCCTATTCCTGAAGTCTCAGTCTGACCAGTTATTGCCTCCTCTAAACCAAAGGTTCTTAACTCATCAACAGGTCTGGGATGGACGCCCCAGGGATTATGAGCCCATACAATGAAATACAAGGCTGTGAAATATGTGTGAGTGTGTATGCATATGTCTGTATGTGCGTCTATGTGCATGCATGTGTATGTATATGTGTGTATGTATGTGCGTATGTGCATGTGTATACGTGTACTTGCATATGTGTGTGCATATGTGCGTATGTATGTGTGTATGTATGTATGTGTATATGTGTGTGTGCATATGTGTGTGTTCGTGTGTGTGTGTGTATATGTGTGTCTGTGTGTGTGGGTCTAAGACCTCTTCCAAGAAGCTTCATTGGATTCATCAAATTCTCAAAGAGCACCATGACCCTGAAAGGATTACGAACAACTACTGCATAGAAAATATTATTACATTAAAATGTAGCTTTGGGCTGGTCATGGTGGCTCACATCTGTAACCCCAGCACTTTGGGAGGCCAAGGCGGGTGGATTACCTGAGTTCAAGAATTCGAAAGCAGCCTGGCCAACATGGCGAAACCCCATCTCTACTACAAAATACAAAAATTAGCCCAAATCAACAGAATATACATTCTTCTCAGTGCCACATGACACTTATTCTAAAACCATAAAAACCCCGGAAGAAAACCTAGGCAATACTATTCAAGACACAGGTATGGGCAAGGACTTCATGACAAAAAAGCCAAAAGCAATTGCAACGAAAGCCAAAATTGACAAATAGGTTCTAATTAAACTAAAGAGCTTCTGCACAGCAAAATAAACTATCATAAGAGTAAAGAGGCAACCTACAAAATGGGAGAAAATTTTTGCAATCTACCCGTCTGACAAAGGGCTAATATCCAGAATTTATAAGGAACGTAAACATATTTACAAGAAAAAAACAACCCCATCAAAAAGTTGGCAAAGGATATGAACAGACACTTCTCAAAAGCAGACATTTACGTGGCCAACAAAGATATTTAAAAAAGCTCAACATCGCTGATCATCAGAGAAATGCAAATCAAAACCATAATGAGATACCATCTCATGCCAGTCAGAATGGTGATTATTAAAAAGTCAGGAAACAATAGATGCTGGCGAGGCTGTGGAGAAACAGGAACGCTTTTACGCTGTTGGTGGGAGTGTAAATTAGTTCAACCATTGTGGAAGACAGTATGGCGATTCCTCAAAGATCTAGAACCAGAAATATCATTTGACCCAGCAATCCCATTTATTTATATATTAAACATATGTGTGCATGTGTCTTTATAGTAGAATGATTTATATACCCAAAGGAATATAAATCATTCTACTAAGGAATATAAATCATTCTACTTTAAAGACACATGCACACATATGTTTATTGCAGCAGTATTTACTATAGCGAAGACATGGAGCCAACCCAAATACCCATCAATGGTAGACTCAATAAGGAAAATGTGGCACATATACACCATGCAGCCATAAAAAGGAATGAATACTATGCAGCCATGAAAAGGAATAAGATCATATCCTTTGCAGGGACATGGATGAAGCTGGAAGTCATCATCCTCAGAAAACTAACACAGAAACAGAAAACCAAACATCACATGTTCTCACTCGTAAGTGGGAGTTGAAGATTGAGAACACATGGACACAGAGAGGAGAACATCACACACCAGGGCCTGCTGGGGGATGGGGAGTGGAGGGGGAACGGAGGAAACTTAAGAGGACAGGTCAACAGGTACAGCAAACCACCATGGCACACATAACCTATGTAACAAACCTGCACGTTCTGCACATGTATCCAGCTTTTTTTTTTTTTAAGAAATAAAGAACAAATAAAAATTAAAAGAGACTAAGCAGGCTACACTCACACTGAGTAACAAATATCCTAGGGAGTATCTGCCACAGATGGATGACAGACTCCCACTCTCATTTCATGGGGCTGAGTCGTTCACTCCAACTTCCAAGGTAGTCTTTTGACAACATTCCTGGTCAACCCTCAGGCTTCTCATTCAGTGTGCCTGCAGTTCACACTGCCCCCTTCACACATACTTTAGAACATCCTCCTCAACCCCTGCCCACCCAGCCCGGGAATTTCCCTCCCATGTGGTGTATGTCACACATCACAGTATCTGCCCAGCTGTTCCCTACCGCTTCTGACAGCCCACTGCATTCTGTGAGGATGGAAAAGCATTACTCTTGTTCAAACTTTCTCCTCCAGGCCCAGCATCGTCTCTGGCACTGAGCAGAAATCTAATAAACAATTGGCAAATGCACAAATGTATTTTTAAGAATGTTTTATATTTAGTGAGTTAGAGCACTGGATTAAAGGTTAAATGACTTTCTGTACTATTTCTGTCATTAGCTGCAAACTCCAAGAGAGCTGCTTAGACTGTTTGGAATTTAGCATTATACAGTTAGAAAGATGATAAATTGCTTCTACTGAAAACACACAGGCTGACTGTTTTCCTTTGTGTCGTACAAAAGTCCAGATATTGGAGAGAAAATAAAGATCATTAAGACACAGTCCTTATGTTCAAGGAGTTTCATATGGAAAACAGGAATGTAAGCAGGTAACTCAGTGAAGGAAGGAGTAAACCCCAGATACCGTGGAAGCCCTGGCACCAGGGCCAGGATGCTTCCCGATGGAGGCAGTTGAGAACCATGCCTGCAACGAACAGAAGTTCCTTCACTGAAAGTCTCGGGGAAGGGAATAGTCAGCATAAAGAACGTCATGTGCAAATCAGCATGAGGCAGTTATTAGCGTCTTTATGTCATGTGCAAATCAGCGTGAGACACTAGTAACTAGCAAGACACTATGGACTAGTTGCCAGTCCCTCTACAGGGATCGTTTTGAAAGGAGAGATGCCACAGAAACGCTGATGGGTCAAGCAGCTCTTCCAATCATCAAGTGAGGAATGAAGAAAGCCCGAACTCATGAGACAGCGGAGGAAACCCGGGAGGGACTAGAACAAAGTCCAGGCACGGAGGCCCACAGGCCTGAAGGGGCCTGGGCTGTATCTGCACACTCAGCCATCGGCAGTTAGTGGCACACTTTCCACTGAGACAGTGGGGGCAGGTCCCCGGGGCCGGCAAATTCGCGGAACACCAGCCAGGGGCATCTCCGCTGCCTCCACAGGACAAACCAGAGACTGCAATGAGAGGGAGGAGCTGCAGCTCCAAGTTGGGCCATTTACTATTCTGAAACGCAGAAACTGGTATTTCTTGACATGGGCTCCCCAGAAGTCACCTAGTATGAGAGCCACGCCTCTCTACAGATGCTAGGAGTCCCCATTCCAGCCTTTCCTGGTGCTGCTGAAAGAAAAGGGAGGAGAACTGCGTGGCTCTAGACTATCGAAGGGGAAAAAAAACCACTGGTGTAGAATTTTTTAAAAAACCGTTTTGGGCTGGGAGACCTCAGGAGCTAATCCAGCATAGTTATGCAGACTAGAACCTCCACTGACCCCAAGGGACAGGGGAGGTGTGGACTGGGGGAAGCACAGAGACCGTCATAAGCCTCAATATGGTCCCAGTCATAGGTCCACAATTCCAACCAGATAACAACAGAAAACTACCAGAAAACAACACAAATCCTCTGGCAAGGTAATTCCATGACCTACCTTGATAACTCGCTTTCCTTTCTCCACTTGCGGAAAATGCCCTCTTAATTCCAACCTAAATCTTCGTGCCTGTGTCCTCAGCTTCCCTCCTTTTTTGCCAAAGTCCCTGTACAACCTACAACCAGATAGTTACTTGTTTGCTAATAAGACAAGGCACCCTCCCTCTTCTCTCATGTAGTTGAAATATTTCAGCAACAAACTCAGTTCTTATAGTCTGAATTCATCTTCAAAATGTTACTATTACCCCAGTCATGGTATTTGCTTCAATAGCAATGCTGTGGGGATTCACATTAACTAGTTAGCCACAAAGAGAATAAATGTCACTCCACATGCTGAGGAGCAGAGTGGGAGCTCACAGCTCCAAACGTGGCTGTGACATCAACCCTTGACCCTTGGCATAACCCAGGGGAAGTTCCTAAACATGACAAGCCAGGGTTTCCATGACTATTCTGTAAGCAGAGATGCATGCCTGGGCAATTAACTGGCTTGATTCTTGTTTTTATGAGAAAGAAGGTCTAGTAAAAGTGATTGATTACAAGGAGCATTCCAAAGTGCGAGGATCATGATTCAACATCATAAATCAGGTTGTTATTAAAGGAAAACTGTTGAGAAAGAACAAAAATTATGACATACCTTTCCCTCCTCAGTTTAGGTGGAGCTGAGGAGTCCCCGCGCCTAAAATACAAGCTGCATTTGGTTTGTAAGCACCAGTAGGAATGAAAGGAGGTGTATTTGAATAACTGACTCCCTCACTCTCTCTCTCTTTTTCTTTCTTATCAATAACAGAACAGGAAATTTAGAATAAGTAAAGTTCCTAAGGTTTTGTCTTCTATGATTCTTCAAATAGACAAATCAAAAACACTATATCATAAAACATTTCAATAAAAACTTTGCAAAAGGGTTACAATGTTAAAAAAAAAAAAATGCTGCACCTGTAGCTGTCAATAAGTCATTCTGAGGCTGACTGTAAGTTCTGCCTGCTTTATTTCATAACCAGAATGCATTTGGATTATTGCATGTGGCAGTTCTTGAAAAAGTCAGTTGTAAACAGACCCTGAACAAATTCCCTGAATTCTTCTTCTATCAATTACCTGAGATCAAATTATGTTTGTGAAAAATGAAGCTTTACTACTAGCAATTATTTTTAAGCAATGAAATGTAGCAGATATTAACTTATGGTTTTCTTCCTGTTAACACTAAGACTGTATTAGATGAAATTTATAGTTGTTTAACAAAACAAAAACTATTATGTCAGCCTTAGAAGCAGTAATTCATCAATTTATGTAGAGCAAACAATTCATGCCAGATGAGTACAGAGAAATAAATTTCCTACTCACTTTGCAACCATTATTCTTTCCACCACGGAAAGATGGGGTAATCCGAGACTAAAAAGAGAGAGAGAGAGAGACAGAGAGACAGAAAAAGAGAAAGAAAGGGTGGTGTAATAAAATAGGGCCTTATTTAGACACTAAATATAACCACAACCTAGAGTTCACTTATCCAATAACCATAAGCTCTTGATGATTTCTGTCAGTATATCCAGTATTTCAATAACCCCAATAAAATAAATTACTGAGATTTAAAACCAGTCCGAAATGCCCCTTTCAATAACCACTCCTCATCAAAATTCTTATTTCTTTAGAATATTTTCTGCCGGAAGAGAAAGGGAGAAGCAATATTTCATTACCATTTTAGAATGATTTTGTAAGCAGGGATATAAATGTAGTCACACATATTTATGCCAGATAGGAGCTTATCTTGCTTGACCACATAAAAAGTTAGGTTACATGGAGTGGAGAAGATCAAAGATTATTTCATTGTTCTTTCCTCTCATTTCCCTTCCTGCATGTTACTAAGGATCCTGCGACACCCGACAGAAGGTGCTGGCCGAAAGGCAGGAGCCCACGATAAATGAAGTGCTCTCTGCATGGGCGAGGTGGGCCACGGAGATGGGTCTTCAGCACAGGGAGCAGAGAAACAGAATGAACCCAAGCAAATCACTCACTGACATGGTTTGGCTATGTCCCCACCCAAATCTCATCTTGAACTGTAGCTCCCACAATTCACTTGTGTCTTGGGAGGGACCCACTGGGAGGTAACTGAATCGTGGGGTGGGTCTTTCCCATGCTGTTCTTGTGACAGGGAGTAAGTCTCACCAGATCTGATGGTTTCATAAAGGGGAGTTCCCCTGCACACACTCTCTTGCCCGTCACCATACAAGACATACCTTTGTTCCCCTTTGACTTCCGCCATGATTGTGAGGCCTCCCCAGCCATGTGGAACTGTGAGTCCATTAAACCTCTTTTTTTATATACAAATTACCCAGTCTTGGGTCTTTCTTCATAGCAGAGTGAAAATGGACTAATACACGTACTAAGGGGCTTGGTTTTCTCAATATGGTTACAAGGAGTCCCTAACTTAACAAACGGGTTATGTTCCAAGGGACCTTTAACAAATCAGTGTCAGAACTCCCAAACTCATTTGAGTAACAGCAATAGCTCAGTGAGGAATGGCTGTCCAGGCCCTTAGACTTTACAGATATGAAATATACTGAATACGATTTAACTATGCCTAAATATCCTATCGATGCCGTCCATCAGAGAGAGAAATTCTAACTCCAAAGATTCATGTCAAAAACAAATTCAGGAAAGGAGAAGGAAATCTCTTGTCTGGACAGAGAAGAGGGACAAACACCACCGGGTACCAAAGTACTACTAAATCTACATTTGGAATAAGACAGGTCCCACCCTGTGCCTAAAGGAGACAGCTCTCCATGTCAGTCACCTCCTAATTACGTGAGAAGAAACAGGACAGTTGCACCCCTGGGAGGACAGGCTCCAGAAACAGCATGGCAGGAGGACCAACAGAGTTATCTTCCTCCCTTTTCTTTTCAGGAGTGACAACAGGAGCATCAGCTCCTAGCTCAGAGTCCCTCTCCTTCTACAGAAAGAGCGCCTGTGTTCATTAGTAAAGTATTAAAGTGGAAGTTCTTTTAGCAAAACTGTGAAAAAAGGCATTGCAAAAAAATTCTACCCATGCTGCTTACTCGGGTAATTACTGAATCTCAAAAATAAACCTTCAAGGATCAACCTACAATTAGGGAGGCGACATCACCTGCAATCGTCTTCTTTCCACGTGCAAAGTACTTGGCATGATGATTAAATGACAGGCTATCAGCATTGAAGCCAGTGTGCTAGATTCTATAAATGATATTTAGGTTCTTTTACAGAAGCTTTTTCCATACATGAACAATAACTCAGCAGTGTCTCCCTCCCCGAGTTCCTGTATCCTGTCATTAATTAAGTACCTGTGGGTCCTCCACTATATTATAAACTCCTGTGAGAAACAGGGATGATATTTTATTGGGCCCACCTCCAGCCCCCTAGCAAGCTGTCTCTGACTTGCGTAGTATTCAGCAAGCATTGAACAAGAAAATAAATTGCACCATTATGGTAGGCATGATGCAAGGAAACAGGAAAATTGATCCCTGTCTAGCCAGGAAGGAAGATCATCCAGACAGAGTGAAATCAACGGGAAAACCAGATACCTAACTGGCAGTCTGGGGCAGCCTTATCAATACTGCACCATTGACTTAGCAAAGGTCTACCCTTTCGGGAGACTCAAATTTTCTAGAAGAATGCAGGAGAGGCAAGGCGACAAAAGTAGAAATGGCACTGGACTGAACTGGTTATGTTCCAATTTCTGCACGTTTTGTGACTCCAGTGAAATCACTTAACCTTTCCAAATCCCTCTTTCCTCATTCAGAACACAGCAGGAACAGTGTGGGGAAGTAAAACAAAACCATCTCTATGGGTTGCCCCAATTACTGGAACACGATTCAAAGCAGAGTCTGAAAGAAATTAGCCTTCAGTGTTACACATATTTGATATAGCTCATTTATTTACTAAACTCTAAGTATTTCAGATCAACTTAAAATGGACTCGTTTTCCAACTGACTTAGAAAGGCAGCCTTTCATTAAGCCATACCTGTACCTTAATGTTGCAAAGATTCAATTTATGTTCATAGGGGTCAAAAAGAAGCCATTAACCATGCCCCAGTCAATGACAAGTGTGTGGAGTCAGTCTTCAGTTAGAGGCACACACAGAGTGCTCTCCGGCAGGCTTCAGTGAACTGTGCGTGGCTTTCAGGCCAAACTCCACCCACCCCCGGCACTTGCCTGTGTTTGCAAGGCTCAGAAGCCAAGAGTGTTTTTCACATTTTTAAATGGTTGGAAAAGTCAATATTTCATGACATATGAAAATTATATGAAATTCAAATTTTTGTGTCCGTAAATAAAGTTTATTGGAGCACAGCCACGTCATTCATTTATGTATTGCTCACGGCTGCTCTCGTGCCACAACAGTGAACTGAGTAGCGGCAACAGGAACCAGATGGCCCACAAAGCCCAAAATATTTACTCTGTGGCCTTTTACAGAAAAAGTTCGCTAACCCCCGCTGTAGAGTTTCCAGAAGAAGCAGGTATTCTAAGAGTAGGATACAATGGATCAGATAATATCTATAATTCATCAAATCAAGGATGCTTTAAAAGAATTAATAATAATCATCTACAAATATAATATATGCCACAAATAGCAACTAAAAAAAAAATGATACAGAAGATGAAGCCAAGAAAAGGGGGGAAAAAAAAGAGGAAGGAAAGAGAAAATGATATGACAAATGACAAAGAGGAAAAGAGAAAACATTGTCCCTACTCCAGGATGCTCTGTGCAATGCTAGCAACTTCTAGATTATCAATAAGTGTGTTACTATACTGGCTGAAGTTAAAAATGCATGTCATTTACATTGCATATGGGGAGAGAGGAAACAGCTAAAATTACCAAGCCACCATCCTCATGCCAAAGCATCCCTGATAACCATGGGGTAGAAAATATGGCATACCTTAGGGCAAAATGTCCTTTAAGTCTCACTATTGATACAAAAATATTCATGCAAACAGCACTTAGAAAAATATAAATTTTAAAAGATACCATTTACATAAGCTTCAAAACACATAGAATATATAAGAATAAATCTTCTAAAAGGTAGAAAACTATTACACAGAAAACTACAATGTTTTATAAAAATACATAAAAGAAGATGTAAACAAAGGAAATACATACCATGTTCATGGATTAGAGAACTCAGTATTATAAAGATGTACATTTTCCTTAAAACGATTTAGTCGACCCTATTCCAATCCAAATCCCAACAGATTTCTTTTGTAGAACTAGATAACCCAATTCTAAAAATTATATGGAAGTAAAGTGTCCCAAGGAGAGCCAAAACACTCTTCAAGAACACCAACAAACTAGGGACCCTGCCATACAGATGACAAAAGCAGTCATACATAAACAACTTTAAAGATACAGTATAGATAAAGAGACTAGACAAACTAGTGAAATGAAATAGAGAAGTCAAACAAATAGACAAATCCAATTAATGGTTAGAACTGGCTCCATACATCAGTAGGGGGAGAACAGACTCTCTGATAAATAGTTCTAGGACAACTGGTTTATCCGTATGGAGAAAAAAGAAATTAGTCTTCTGCTATATGCACTGCCTGAAAATCAATTCCAGTTGAACTAAGGACTTACATGGGAAAGGCAAAACTACAAAGCTGTTGGAGAACAAGAATATAGAATACATTTTTGCTATCCATGTGGAAGAGGAAAAGATTTCTTACTGGAGACACAGAAAGCATAAAAGATCAATAAAATCAGCTTAGTAAAATTAAGAATTTCCATCCACTAAGAAGTCATTAAAAAGAAAACTACAAGCCACAAACTATTAAAAGCAAGAATTTCTGCTATAATATCACATATCTGTTCCTGAAAAGTGTCCCATTTTGCAAATATGAGTGCTGAAAATAAGACAGCTTATTAAAACTAAGGTTTAGGGAAGAATTCTCAAAGCCACATAACTTACAAAAATAGTAATAATCCTAACATCCTCACCATAACATTAGCATGTAAGCCAGGTGCAGCAGCTCGTGCCTATAGTGCCTGAGACTCAGGAGGCTGAAGCAGAAGGACTCCTTCAGTCCAGGAGTTTGAGACCAGCCCAGGCAACAGAGCAAGACTCCATCTCTATAAAAACATTTTTTTTAAATTAGCCAGGCCTGGTGGTACACGCCTCTAGTCCCAGCTTCTTGAGAGGCTGATGCCATAGGATCATTTTCAGCCCAGGAAGTAGAGGCTGCAATGAGCTATAATTGCACCACTGCACTCTCCAGAGCGATGGAGAGAGAGACCCCATCTCAAAAAACAAACAAACAACAACAAAAATTTAGCACCTATTAAAAGGCATGTTACATACCTAATAAATACTACAATAAATTTAGACCTTTTCCTTAAAAAAAAAATTGAAAGGTGGAGGTCACTTGATGGAGAGAAATATAAGGAAGGGTTGAAAATGCTACATTAATGGGGCCAAGGACAAATGTCCAAGGATGCTGGAGATGGGGACATAAAACTTCCAAGAAAAAGCACATGACCCAAGGTCACCAACAGAAAGAATGTAAGGTGAATGGCAATGTGATAGTCCTGGCTCCCCTGCAGCTCTCTCATTTCAGCTGTGCTAAGGTAGCTGGTGATCAGCGGCTATTACTTGATGTAAAACATTAACGTGCTGGGGAAGCTACCGGGAAAGTGGGCCCACTTTTACATTATGCAGACATGAATGCTGTACTTACCAGTTACACATGAACTCTCTCACACTACAGAAGCCTGCACAGTAAACAATCAACTGATTCTGCAACACATAACTAATGCCGGATCAATAAAGAACTACAGACCAGTAGAAAGAAGAAAAATGAGCAAAGACACTTACGCACTTCCCAGAAATGGATATCCAAATGGCTAGAAAACATGTGAAAGGATCCTCAAGTTCAATGGTCATGACAGTTAATTTTATGTGTCAACTTGACTGGACCACGAGGTGCCCAGATATTTGGCCAAACATTATTCTGGGTGCATCCGCGAGGGTGTTTCCGAAAGAGGCTAACATTTGAAATTGTAGACTGAGTAAAGTGGACAGCCCTCCGTCATGTGGATAGACCTCATCTAATCAGTTGAAGAACTGCATAGAACAAAGGGCTAACCTTATTCCTGCAAGGAAGGGGGACCTTCTCCTGCCTGAATGCTGGAGCAAGACGTCGGTCTTTGTCACTGTTATGAAGCGGCTGTGTAAACATTTGTGGACTGACCAATATCTGTTCACATAATCCATGTCAGAGATTGATGGTCTCATCAGCCAGGTACACATTGTCCAGGTCTGCTGCCTCTCAGTTAAAGCCACAGGGCTGATTCTCACCCGTGAAAAGTGAAGCTGTGCTTTCTCCAAGCTCTTTCTTTCCTATCTCCAGCTGAATGCAGAGGAGGACGAGGCCTGACAAAGATGGCAGGGCCCCAGGATAGAAGATAGCTGGCACATGGAACGGGGGTGTATAGGAAAAGCTGTCTGTCCCTCACATTGGACTGTGACAGGATCAACAAAATTAAACATCACAGCATCAGGCCCTGAGATGTGCTGACCTGTCGCAGCAGCTACTGAGGCACCCTGAACCTGCCCTTGTTACTTACCCTACTACATTTTTATAAGGGAACATATATGCTCGCCTTACTCTCATGTTAAAATAGTAATTCAGTAAATGTCCTACGCATAGCCTCTTACATCCATAATAATCCTTTCAAGAAAGGAGGAGGAGGAGGTGGGTGTCTGTAACAATGAAAAACCAAAGACAATTCAGCCAGAAAAACCAGTAAAGACCAAAAGACCTAAATATGCCCTTAGTAAGCCCAGAGATGGCTCCAGTCTAGACCAGGGTTTTTTAATAGTATCAGCACTATTGACACTCTGGACCACATCACTCTGTGTTGTAGGGGACAGCGCTGTATTCTGCAGATGTTTAGCAGTACCCCGGGTCCTACACACTAATGCCAATAATACTGCCTCCAGTTGTGGCAACAAAACTTGTCTCCAGATATTGCCAAATATAACCTGGGGAACAAAATCCTCCTTAGTTGGGAACCACTGGTTTAGAGAGAGCACCTGGTGAACAGTTTCAAACATCTATATTAACTTGATGCTGTCTAGCCAAATGTCACATGTTGATTCGGTACACAGAAAGACCTCTCCGACAAGGACACATCATGCTGTCCCACGCCAGAGGGGAAATGCCCAAACCAGAACAAGGTGCAAAACCGGGCATGAATGCCAGGCGCTGAGAACTCCATGTCCCAAGATGCCGATTCCAACTGCTGGGATCTCATGCCACGGTTAGTGCACCCCGTGCCCAAGGCACTTACCTTCCTGAGCTGAAAGGTGAACTTTGTTTCTGTCCTACCTCCTCAAGCAATGAAAGAAACAGACAGTGATAAAGGGTACATCTAAACATTTTAATACAGTAGTCCATTCTCTATCTGTTCTAATGAGGAAAAACAGTGATGAAATTGATGAAAGGGGTGGGTAACTCAGGAATCACTGACATTTACTTTTGGCAAAGTCTGTCTGATTTTTCCTCTTCCTAAATGGATCTTCTTCAGAATTTTCTTTTGCTAAGGCTCATATGAAGTTGCTGTGCATTTTCTGACTACATGCTAGCTCCATAGAGGAAACAGGCAGGTTTGAAAAAAAGGCTTCGTGTGCAAAAAATGTCAGCCAGGGCTAGACGCGGTGGCTCATGCTTGTAATCCCAGCACTCTGGGAGGCCAAGGTGGGCGGATCGCCTGAGGTCAGGAGTTCGAGACCAGCCTGGCCAACCTGGTGAAACCCCATCTCTACTAAAAATACAAAAAATTAACTGGGCATGGTGGCGGACGCCTGTAATCCCAGCTACTCAGGAGGCTGAGGCAGGAGAATCGCTTGAACCCGGGAGGCAGAGGTTGCAGTGAGCCAAGATCGTGCTATTGCACTCTAGCCTAGGCAACAAGAGAAACTCCATCTCAAAAAAAAAAAAAAAAAACAAAACAAAAACAAAATAAAACAAAACAAACTAAACTGTCAGCCAGGGTTACAATTACAAAGTTTCCCCTAAAAAAAAAACAAACTGTTTCATTCTAAATCTTAAGATGTCCCATTATACAATCCATGTAATTGTACACAGAACAAATCTCTTCTTCCCAGTCTATCGAGCACCTGAATTACTAAGAACATAATTGCCCTCTTTGAACTTAACAAGATTAATCTAGAGCTAAACATTTCCAATGGCTATCTCTAGGTAGTCCATCTTTCATTGTGACATTTCAACAGCTATACTCTACTTTGCAAACTAACAGATTCTTCCATTGACGGCGACTCGGTATTTTTCTATCTGCAAATTCACCTGCTAAGAATGTAAAGTGATTTTTAAAGGAGAACTTGGCTAATAAATCTATCACATCCTCCATCGTCATCCAAGAGTGACTAACCCACTTGGGTTTATCTTGATTGACTTACAACTCTGCCAGCAGTCGCTCAGCTACACAGAGCAATAAATGATCTCCCTGCAAGCTGCTATGATTAATCACCACCCTTCAGTTAAAGTCAATATCCTACTCACGTCATGTTGACAAAAAGAAAAATTTGGTAATAAGAAATAGATTTCCTTTATCTAGGCTGAAGATATATAAATTACAATCAGATTATGTAGATAAAATACATGAGCTAAATTTATCTGCTGTAAATACACTTGTCACAGCCCTTCTAAATGCCTCTAAAAAAGGGGGTTTATTGAAGTGCCGGAGTTAGTGGGCAGTTGAAGAAAGGCCCGGGCAACAATTCCTGAAAAGGTCATTTGTAACTCATTCAAATTCTTTCTTTTCACTCTACAAGTCGCAAACTAAAAATCTCTTCATTTCCCTGGCCCAGAATGTTTTTACGAAGCACTTACAAAAAATACAGAAAACCAAACACCGCATGTTCTCACTCATAGGTGGGAATTGAACAATGAGAACGCTTGGACACAGGATGGGGAACATCACACACAGGGGCCTGTCGTGGAGTGGGGGGAGGGAGGAGGGATAGCATTAGGAGAAATACCTAATGTTAATGATGAGTTAATGGGTGCAGCACACCAGCATGGCACATGTATACATATGTAACAAACCTGCACATTGTGCACATGTACCCTAGAACGTAAAGTATAATTTAAAAAAAAAATTGCACCACCCTAAGGCATAAGCCATAGGCTTGTAGGAGTAGTAACGGCATCAACAGGGCTCTAGAGGTCCGAGGGAGCCGAGGCCACCACCCAACGCAGCCAAACTACCAACGGGTGAACAGCACGAGCACGTGATGAGTCCAGCAGACCATTATCCACATCTTCACAAGACAGAAGTAAAGCACAAGGGAGCAGCACAGATTTGGGGGAACAGGAATGCTGAGGCCAGAAGTAAAATACAGAATAAAATAGAGGAAAAGAGAATGACGAGAATCCAGAAATTTTGCCTTAGAACCCACATCCTGGACAACCGGCCGGAGACAGCCTCATGTTTCACCCACTCACAGGGGTTTGAACTGCACATAGTCACATAAACATCCAGCAATAATCAGCAAATCAGTAGACTGCAACTGCCCGGAGACCTCTGTTCTCAGCTTAATGGTCTGTTTCGTTTATAGCTATTAGTGATCTTCCTAAGGGGCGTTAGCGAATCACAATGGTGTTTACTGAACCCCCCAGAATAGAAAGTCATGCTGGAGTTATTTTTTCCCTTTAGTTAATTATAAAGTGCTGAAACTGAGATTTTAATTACTTACCAGGTAAACAGACAATATAACCTAATTCCAGAAGGAGAGGGACAGCATTTCAAAGTAAAAACTAGACAGATTTTCTGGGATTGGGGATGCTTCCAGGTTTGGCTCTGCCAAAGGACTGTAATGAGAGGATTGGGGTGCTCCATCCACCTCGGGAGAAATAAACTAAATAAAACACTGAGTTCTGCTCTCAGATATGACCTGCAGCCAGTATTCCCAGCAGCGTTATCCTCATAGCATCCACCACCTCCGTGCAAGATGCTGAGCCCAGAGCCTGTACATCCCATAAGTCATGAAGAAAATAAATTTTAAAATACAGAGAGAATAATACAATTGTTATACATAATAATATATATTATATATAATAACATATAACATTATTTATATAATAAATATAATACAATTGTTCTCAATTGTATTGTTCTACAACGCAATTGCACTGTGTATGGTAAAAACCTAGAGGGGCGAATATAATATTCAACATTGACTAAAAAGTTATGTGACATATCCATACTGCACAGAAGCAATGGAGTGAAATAAGATGGCACGATTGCAGCTCACTGCAGCCTTGACCTCCTAGGCTCAAGCAATCTGCCCACCTCAGCCTCCCAAGTAGCTGGGAGTACAGGTGAATGCCACCAATCTTCGATAGTTTTTGTGTTTTCTCTACAGACAGAGTTTCGCCATGTTGCCTAGGCTGGTCTCCAACTCCTGGGTTCAAGTGATCTGGCCTTCCAAAGTGCTGAGATTACAGGCATGAGCTACCGCACCCAGCCAAACAAACGATTGGGGTTTTTTGTTTTTGTTTTTGTTTTTGCTGTTTTGTTTTGTTTAGAGATGGGGGTCTCACTTTGTTGCCCGGGCTGGTCTTGAACTCCTTGGCTTGAGTGATCCTCTCGCCTTGGCTCCCAAAGTGCTGGGATTACAGGTGTGAGCCACCATGTCCAGCCAGGTTGTAAGATGGTTGAGTGAAACCAACATGTCTCAGAACTGTGTGTTTGGCAAGACACCACTTTTCTCATCTAAATTTCTAATGTAAAATACCTTCATAAGAGTATCTTTATAGAAACAGGAAAATATCTAGATACATGCACAGCTTTTCTGCAGTTATTTCTGGGAAGTGAGTTTGAAGGGGGGAGAGGAAGGAGGACTTTCACATTTTACTTTATATATTTATCTACATGCTATTTTCATTTCCAAGTTACTTTTGTCATTTTTTAAAAAGTAATGGAAAAATAGCATGAACCCCTATTGAAATTATCACTGATTCAAACATGTCCTAGTTAGAACATTTAGTAAGAGTCTAATTTAGAATCATTGCACGTTAGGATTTACTCTTATATCCAAACTAGCATTTTCCTTCAATAGAGAAAAGAGGGACAACCCCTTAAGTGGGAGGCAGATGACACAGCGCTAATCAAAATGGGACACCAAACAGTTTTAGTTGTTTCCACTTGCTGCCTCGCAAAATGACTAAATCTGCTAACTTATTTACAAGTTACAGAAAAATCCACAAAGCATTAACAGCAAGGAGCCTACCACTGCATTATTGCTACATAATGGCAAATCCAAATGTTGAACTGCTAGGCAGCTATGCAAACCACACAAGAGATACCCGGAAGAATGAACAAGCACTACCTGTAACATTTCTTAACGATCACATGATCTCTGGGATTTCTATCTCAACCACACTTGGTGTAAGATGTTGGGTTATTATCCCAGCCTTTCTGTGACTATAGCTCTTTGGAAGGACAAGGGCATTACAGCTAAAACATGCATAAAAAACCAGACCCGGCTGGGCACATTGGCTCACACCTATAATCCCAGCACTTTGGGAGGCTGAGGCAGGGGAGTCACCTGAGGTCAGGAGTTCGAGACCAGCCTGGCCAACATGGTGAAACCCTGTATCTACTAAAAATACAAAAATTAGCTGGGCATGGTAGCAGGCCCCAGTATTCCCAGCTACCTGGGAGGCTGAGGCAAGAGAACCTTTTGAACTCAAGAGGCAGAGGTTGCAGTGAGCCGAGATCGTGTCACTGCACTTCAGCCTGGGCAACAGAGTGAGAAAGAGAGAAAGAGAAAGAGAAACAGAAAGAGAGAGAGAGAGAAAGAGAAAGAGAGAAAGAAAAGAGAGAGAGAGAGAGGGAGAAAGAGAAAGAAAGAAAGAAAAGAAAGAAAGAAAGAAAAGAGAGAGAAAGAAAGAAAGAGAAAGAAAGAAAGAAAGAAAGAAAGAAAGAAAGAAAGAAAGAAAGAAAGAAAGAAAGAAAGAAAGAAAGAAAAAGCAAGCAAGCAAGCCAGCCAATCCGGCAGCACAAGAGTAAAACGTCACGATCCCCTGTGAGGGTCCATTGTGTGTGTCAATGTGCCTGGCCATGATGCTCAGATATTTGGTCAAACATTATTCTGGGTGTTTCTTGGGGTGTTTCTGGCTGACATTAGCATTTGAATCAGCAGATTGAGTAGAGCAGATGCTATGGGTGGGCCACATCCCATCCATCGCAGGCCTGTATAGAACAAGAGTCTGATCCACCCCCAAGTGAGGGAGAATCCCTCCTGCCTCACTGCCTTTGGGGGATGATGGCTTTTTCCCACCTTCCAACTCTATCTGAAATATTGGCTCTTCCTGGGTCTCGAGCTTGGAGGCCTTCAGACAAGAACTATTCCACCAGTTCCAGTTCTCAGGCCTCAGGCTAGGACTGGAAATTACACCATCTTCCACCATCAGCTCTCCTGGATCTCCAGCCTGCCAACTGCAGATCTAGGGACTTGTCAGCCTCCATCATCACAGGAGCCAACTCCTTGGAACAAATCTCTCAATATCACCATCCTACAGGTTTTGTGTTCCTGGAGAACCCTGACTAGTCCATATGCCAAATAATTTCAATCTGCTACTAACCCAGATTATTCAAGTCCCAGATACACCAGTTAAGAGCTGTATGACCTTCAGCAAGTTACTTTTCCTCTCTGATCCTCGGTTTCCACAGGGACAAGAACAGTCCCCACCTCACAGGCTTGCTAGAAGTCTTAATGTAAAACCTGTACAACAGCACCTGAGACATAGTCAGCCCTCTTAATATTTGCTGTTATTAAGAAGATGTTCAGGCATAGAAGTACACAGATTAAGGCTAATCTATACAACACAGGGAAAACTGGAAGTGTCAGGAACACTAGAATTTCTGAGTTCCTGGAACAATTGGAAGCTGAACTTGGTCTACTTCATCACAGAGGGAAGAGATACAAAGACCATGCTGAGAACAGATGGTGAACCTTGAAGAGCCAAAACGCATGACCTCCCTCAACAGGACTCATGTTTATGCAATGTTCTAATTAGTGAATGGGTTGTGTTGGATTTTTATCAGAATGGCAAGAAAAACAGCAATGTTTACAGCTGGGCTAGGGCAGTTAGAAAGGCTCAGAGCAGTGCAGACCAGAAACAGCACTGAGAGCAGAGCCCAGCAGAAAAGATGCTACGGCCAAGGGATCCAGCCAGCTGGGCTAGAAAAGGCAGTGAGCGTACCCCAAAGCCATATGAGCAGGCAGGTGAGGGGCTGGGTGGAGGCTGGTGGGCCCAGCACACCCAGGAAAGGGAAGCGCCAATGGGTCAGTGATGGGCCCCGCCAGGCTGGAAAGCAGCACAAGGAACACTCAGATGAGAGCAAGGTTGGAATGAACTATGCAGGGGACGACAGGCCAGCCACGGGGTCCCCAAGGAAGCCTGCGACCTGGAGGACATTCTTCTCCCATGCAACTGAGTTTAAAACCTGGATCCACCATGCACAGGACAAGTCACTCAAGCCCTCTGTTCAGCTCTCTTTCATTCCACACAAAATATGAAGAGAAGTCTCAAAGTCACTAGCATCGTGCCTGTAAATGAAGAGGTTCCCCTTTCTGGCCTGCCAAGATGGTCTAGCATGCCTGCTCACTTCGAGGATTTCTCCAGGATCAACTCCTCTGAAAAAGATCCCCTATTGGACTCTCCATGAACCTCTTGATATTACATAGCCATAGTATGTAGGCTGGTGAACATGATAACCTCCCTCCCCACACATAAACACACACACACACACATGCAAACCACACATACATATGTGCATGCCTATGAAGTCCTTAAACTCAGGGACTATGCCTATTTGTTTCTCTATTGATAAATGTGATATCTAGTGTGTGGCAGAGCTCACAACTGTGTACTAAATGAGCACATACTTCCTTCTAAAATTCTGGTCGTGTCCCCCTCATCAGTTGCAGTCTTTGCAGGGCTTGGAAAGCACTGCTCCTTCAGGAGAGGGCTTTGTCCTCGTGCCCCCTCCCCCAGGGTCATGTCCTGAGTGTGTGAGCCTACTCAGAGGACTGGCCCACACTAAATCCATGGGCAGGACCCATGTGGGCAGCTGTGGGAAGCCACATGGTTTTATTCCTCTCATCATTCGAAAATAGAGGCAGCTTAATGGAAAAAAAAAAATCCTACAGAATTTAAGATCCTTATTTTTAATAAAAGCATCTGCTCTCAATTCCAAGCGAAGACATATCATGGCCAGCGTGGTGGCTCACACCTGTAATCGCAGCACTTTGGGAGGCCAAAGCGGGCAGATCACCTGAGGCCAGGAGTTCAAGACCAGCCGACTAACATGGAGAAACCCCATCTCTACTGAAAATACAAAATTAGCCAGGCGTGGTGGCGCATGCCTGTAATCCCAGCTACTCAGGAGGCTGAGGGAGGAGAACCACTTGAACTCAGGAGGCGGAGGTTGCGGTGAGCGAAGATCATGCCACTGCACTCGAGCCTGGGCAACAAGAACAAAACTCCGTCTCAAAAAAAAAAAAAAAAAGTACACATCAGCAATATCATAGCTTCTGGCCACGCTGACCTGGTCCACAGAGGAGAAGGTAAAAGATCTGAGTCAGATCCTTGTGTGAACCTGCGTAAGGAAAACACTAATTTATGTAACAAAATGACATGAAATATTAGGTTTCAAATTCTATTAAACCACCAAGGAAATGCACAAAAACCCCTGGTGGGCGTCATTTGGAAGACAAAATTGTATCTCTGGATGAAAAAGATATTTGACTTCGTTATAAATTCCAAAAAATCAGCAAGTCATAGAACACCACAATTCAGTATTATCCTAACCACAACTTGGGACAGTCTAAGACGGTGGCTGCAAACCACAAAGATATGCACCATCTTAAGGAAGAAATGATTTTCTGAGAACTCTAAGGAATATTGAATGGAGAAGAATTAACTGCAACACAGAAGTGTCCACTGGAGCTGGTACTTGTAGGTCTGACCATGAAATTCTGGCTAATGCTGGGAAGAAGAGAAAGTGGCAAATTCATGGGGACACAGGAGGCATTCTGCCAGAACCTTCTTGCCTGTTCTCACTGATATTCTCTGCCCTAAAGACCACGGTTTCACAACCTTTTTTTCTCTCATTATCATGCCCCTAAGAAGCCCTTTTAGATATTTGTTCTAAACACCTCCTCCTCATGAAATTGTAAAACCACAGATATCCTTCATATCTTTTTATGTGTTATACTGACATCTGTGCTTGGCACATTTTAAAAGCATGATTTTTTTTTCACCTCTTTGGAGGTGATATTGTCCCCACTTAGAAATACATGACCTGAATTCCAGGTCAGCCAATGCCCAAGTACTTGGACTTGTACCTGGCACCTGGGCTCAATCAAGAATCTTATGACTTGAATGAGTGAAATAACATTTACCTTTCATTAGCAGGAATGTAACACAGTGGCTCTGTTAAATATGCCTTGAGCCACAATATGACACATCAGTCATACTGATAGAAGAATATCCACTCAATCCTTCAGTAAATACACAGCCCAAATGCTGAGGGAACTGGAGCGAGAAAATAATAAAGGTTCGCGTCTCCGCGTCTTCTATTCTGGGCTAGGACAGACGAATGGTCAAGTGGCAAATATGTTATCAGACAATAAAAATGCTAAAAAGGGAAATAAATCTGCCAGGGTGGGGCTGATTTTATTTGTACACAATTCCTCAAATCCTCATGAAAAAAATGACATTTTAGCAGAGACTTAAAGGAATTGAGAGTAAACCATGCAATTATCTGAGGGAAGGGTGTTCCAGGCAGAGAGTGCCGCCTGTACAAAGGCCCCGGGCCATAAACCAACTTGGCATCTCTGACAAAAGGGAAGGAAGCCAAGCCCACTGGAGCAGGGCCACACGAGGGATCGCAGAAGACAAAGTCAGAGACACGGAGGCAGAGTTTCCGTGGGTGGATTCATTAACCAGGTGCACTGCAAGACATCTTTAAACTATGTCCCTCAGAACTTCTAGGCAAAGCAGTCAACATGCAAACAAAAAACGTAAGTCCGCTGGCAAGGAAGTCACTAAACCAAAATCATCAAGTTCGCAGTACTCCTGGGGTAAAAATACAGAGCTAGGAACTGTGCACATGTCTTTCTTCAAATCTTAGCAGCAATTAATTCCCCGGCGTTCTGCAAAAGCATTACTTTTGCTCATTCAGGAGAAAGAAATCCAAAGTTTAAAACTGAATACTGTCACAGAGCTGCAAACACAAGGTCCCTGAGAAAGCCAACCAGCCTATCTCAAACTGGATGGGACACAAGTCTGTTCTTAATTTGACCTAGATCTTGGGGAAAACAAACGTCCTTCACGTACAAAGGTACACTTATTTCCGGATGTCTTAAGAAATTCCCAGAGTCACAGGTATCAGTTATGGTATATCAGGAAGTTTCATTTTGTTTATTGCTGGATTTTGTAAAATCTTTTTGTAGCATGTAAGCTACAGGAATTAAACTAGGTGCTACCAAAGAGAGAGACAGAGAGAGAGAGAGAGACAGAGAGAGACAAAGACTGAGAGACTGAGAGACAGAGATAGACTGAAAGAGACAGAGAGAGAGGAAGATAGAGAGACAGAGAGAGAGAGACAGAGAGAGACACAGAGAGAGAGAGAGGGAGAGACAGACAGACAGAGACTGAGAGAGAGACAGAGAGAGACAGAGAGGAAGACAGAGAGACAGAGAGAGACACAGAGGGAGACAGAGAGGGAGAGAGACAGAGAGACAGAGAGAGACTAAGAGAGAGAGACAGAGAGACTGAGAGAGACACAGAGACTGAGAGAGACAGAGAGAGATGAAGACAGAGAGACACAGAGAGAGAGACAGAGAGGGAGACAGAGAAGGAGAGAGACAGAAAGAGAAAGAGAGAGACAAAGACAGACAGAGACAGAGAGAGAGACATAGAGACAGAGAGAGACAGAGACAGAGAGAGAGAGACAGACAGAGAAAGTCAAAGCTTGACAACGCCAACTTGGCCAGATGCATGGCTCATTACTTTAATACACTGTCATACATGCGAAGTGATTTAAATTCACTCAAGTTGCTTCCCTTTCCCATCAAACGAGACGCCTGAGTGTGCAGCTGCTGACTCTTAACAATTAATTAATGACTCACTTTTATCTAGTTCTTCCTCAAAGTACTTCCAATCATGTGGTAAGTGTTCTCTACCATCTTGCCCCGCGGTATAAATGAAACAAGCCGGAGGGTCAGAGGGTTACAGCCACTTGTTCTCCAATTCAGACAAGAGAACCAGGGCAGAGATGCTGATTCTCTAGGATTGGAAAAAATGAGCTTATCCTTTGAAATCTTCTTTCCTTCTATTTTTTTCCTGGAGAATCACTGGAGTATTTTCTTATGAAAGGAACCATTTCACTATAGGAAGTAAGATCAACAATTGCAGAGAACAGTAAAGTCACACCTGCTGAGAGCCAATATATGGAATTCCTTTTCATTCTTACCACCATTCTGGGAGGTTAAGTAATAGGAAGCACTTTTCATTTTTCAGATGAAGAAAGTAAAGTTTAAAGAGTCTAACCTCAGTGTTTTGCGGGCTGACATGGAGATTCAAGGCCCAGGGTCTTTCAGACCCTCCATGACCCACATCCTCCACTATTCAAGGCCAATTCCAAATGCCATTTTTCACTGGGAGATTAAAATTACTGACTCTGTAGCTCTAAACTGCCTGTTAAGAGAGAGCAACTCCCATCCAAGCGCATAAGGGCCTGCCAACGGCCCAGTTCCTCCACTGCTCGGAATAGTAAAGATAATTAAATAAATCGTCTAAAAAAAACACTCCTGTTAAAATTTCAGTGGCTGCTTTTCTCCATGTTGAGTTCCCTCAGGACCCAGCATGTGTTATTTTTAATTAATAATGACATGGTTTATTACAGGATTCCTCCTATATAAAACAAATTAACAATCTTTCTGCAAGGGAAGAGGAGGAAGGCTCTCAGTTAAAAAAGAAAAGGTGGATCTCTTCTTTGAAAAGGAGAGGGTAACCCTAAGTTTCACTGAGGCATTTATGAGCATCCTTTTTTTTTTTTTTTTTTGAGACAGAGTCTCACTCTGTTGCCCAGGCTGGAGTGCAGTGGCACAATCTCGGCTCACGGCAAGCTCCGCCTCCCGGGTTCATGCCATTCTCCTGCCTCAGCCTCCTGAGTAGCTGGGACTACAGGCGCCCGCCAACACGCCCGGCTAATTTTTTGTGTTCTTAGTAGAGATGGGGTTTCACTGTGTTAGCCAGGATGGTCTCGATCTCCTGACCTTGTGATCTGCCCTCCTCAGCCTCCCAAAGTGCTGGGATTACAGGCGTGAGCCACCGTGCCCGGCATTTATGAGCATCTTAACAGTGATTCAGGGTAAAATAACGTCAGGGATAAAATATCCCATCTTAAGGTGCACAATGTAGGTACTCACCAAATCATTAAGAAAACTGACACACTGATATGGTCTCTTCTCCCTTTGAATTCTTTAACACGAGAGTTTGTATATTTCTTAGTATAGTCAAAATGTCCCATTAATACCTCCATATTTTGTAACTCTCCCTTGTCCATTTCCAAGCATATAGCTTTAAGCTATGAACTACTTGAAGGCAGGGGTTTATTACTCACCTGGGATGCTTGTCAGCACTCAGCACTGAGTCCATCCATTAAAATATAATTTCTTACATTTGCAATGCATTTGTTAGAAAATGCAAACTGAAATCATAATAATTTCAATTCCTCCATTAATAAGTTTTATGCAACTCCAATCAAAATTCCATTGGAGGTTTTTTTAGGGAACTTGACAAATTTGACCTCTAAATGTATGCAGAATGTCATAAAATGACAAATAGGACCAGCACTTCCCAAACTTTTTCACATCACGGTACATGATATTGTTTGGCTCTGTGTCCCCACTCAAATCTCACCTTGAATTGTAAATAATTCCCACGTGTCCCATGGGAGGGACCCACTAGGGGGGAATTGAATCATGGGGGTGGGTTTTTCCTATTCTGTTCTACTGATGGTGAATGAGTCTCACTAAATCTGATGGTTTTATACATGGGAGTTCCCATGCACAAGCTCTCTTGCCTGCCACCATGTAAGATGTGCCTTTGCTCCTCCTTCACCTTCTGCCATGATTGTGAGGCCTCCCCAGCCATGTGAAACTCTGAGTTCATTAAACCTCTTATTTATTTATAAATTACCCCGTCTTGGATATTTCTTCATAACAGTATGAAAGTGGACTGACACAGTACACAAGGAAAATGATCCTGTTTGTACTCACACCTGTGATGAAAAAGGGCGCTCCCAGCTGAAACTGACTGGCCCTGAACAATGACTGCCCTATATACAGGCATCGATTCCAGATGGATTAAAGATCTTTACTTTTTAGAAATTCTAGAAGGAATATACAAGAAAATTTTTAAGAATTTGAAATGAAAACTTATGGAAGACACACACACACACACACACACACATACACAGCACAGCACAAAAGTAAGGTCTAATAAACAGGGTATGTTGAAATGGAAGAGGGGACAGTGGGGAGGCGAATGGACAAAGGAAACCCTCATGTCTAGGAAAAGACACAAAACCATACTAGCAATCACAGAAAATGGATGAAAACCACAGAAAGACAGGATTTCACATCTAGCCCAAGGCCAAAAATGAAGCTTTGACCAGGGCATGGGAAAACTTGGATTACTGCATGCTGCTGGCTAGATGATAACCACTGTGGAAAATGACTGTCTCATTATCATCAGAGAAATGCTCTCATTTGTAAACCAGAACATTCACCCAAGAGTATTCTTCATAGCTCTGTTTGTTAACAGTAAAAATGTGCAAAAGACAACCTAAATGTCTAACATGAAGAAAACAGAGAAGTTGTGGAATAAGCAGAGAAAGCAAATTGAAAAATTATTTATATTGATACCATTTATGGAAAGTCTGAAAACAGGTAAAAACAATACTAACTATGATTTATGGTGAAATATACATGCAATATAAAACATAAATGGAGCTGGGCGCGGTGGTTCACGCCTATAATCCCAGCACTTTGGGAGGCTGAGGCGGGTTGGTCACCTGAGTTTGGGAGTTTGCAGCATGACCAATATGGTGAAACTCCGTCTCTACTAAAAATACAAAAAGTTAGCCAGGTATGGTGGCAGGTGCCTATAGTCCCAGCTAATGGGGAGGCTGAGACAGGATAATTGCTTGAACCCAGGAGGCGGAGGTTGCAGTGAGCCAAGATCATGCCACTGCACTCCATCCTGGGCAACAGAGCAAGACTCCATCTCAAAAAAAAAAAAAAAAAACCAAAAAAAAAAAAAATGAGGAAAATAAACACCAAATTCAGGACAGCAGTTGCCATAGAAGACAAAAGGTGTTGGAAAGGAGCCCCAATATTACATGGGGTTTCAACTATAGTGGTTTTTTCAATCTGAAGTATGTTGAAATGTTAGAATTTGATAAAGCCCCACAGGTGCTGTGCAGATTTTTTTAATTTTAACCTCTGTACTTTTTCTTTAGGTTTGATATGTCCAAAAATAAAGTTTGTTTCAACATCTTTAAGAAAAGAAAGTACATATTGATAAAAAGTTCCTTGGAACAATGTATAGTACAGAGATAATCAGAAGTACAAAGAACTTTGCTTAAAAAGGTTTCTTTTTAACAAAATTTGCATTTTATATTATGTAATATTAGGGAAATGATACAGATGATAGAGTTATAGAGACAGAGACATAGGCAGAGACAGAGATATATCCCAAAGACCCTCAAGTTACAACCATCATAATACATACATAAAATGGAATTCTATATGGCTATTTAAAATGTTATATTTCATCTGTATTTATTGCCAAAAACATCAACAAAAACTGTTATAAAGCAGTTTAGTGAATATAGTAGGACTCTATGAATGTAAAAGTACATGCCTGTGTAAATATATTGCCTATGCACACACAAAGTTGTCTAGGTAGTCCCAAAATGATTCTAGCTCTACAATAGTGAGATTTCTGAACACTTTATTTACCTTTTGTCCTTTCCTGAATCAAATGAATGTTTTGCTATAAGTGTGAATAATTACTATAATCACACACACACACATTTTTTCTAGTATGTTTGTGGGAAACCCTTCTCTCCACCGCATATTCAGCTTATGAGAAAATAAAGGTTTGCTAAACACTGCGGTTCAGCAACAATGCAACGTTGAAAAATAATGGAATAAGGAGTAAGAGGTGATGGTGCAGAGTGAAGAGCCAGAAGTAAAAAGAGAAGACGCGGAGGAGACCAGGCAGGGGAGCTCCAAAAACCAAGAGGTAGAGCCCAAACTGCAGCCGAGGATCTTGTGAACTCCACCCCAATCTGAGTTCCCTGAGTTACTCCTCATAGTCAGAGTTTACTCAAAGGCAGATATGGCTGTACTCACTTCCACTATGGTCCCAAGGGAATGGTTGTTCTTACCAGCTAGAAGAAACTTGTATTAGTTTGCTTGGGCTACTCCATCAGAAAAGCATAGACTGGGTGTCTTAAACAGAAACGTATCTCACAGTTCTGGAGGCTGGGAAGCCCCAGATCAAGGGGGCAGCATGGTCAGTTTCACTCGGAGGCCTCTCCTCCTGGTTTGTAGGTGGCCGCCATCTTGCTACGTGTTCACATGACCTCTTTGTGTGCTCAGGCAGAGAAGGGAGGCGGAGGGAGAGTGCATAAGCTCTCAGGTGCCTCTTCTTTTAAGGACAGTAATCCTAAAGGATTAAGGACCCAGCCTTATGTCCTCACTGAGCCTTAATTACTTCCTTAGAGGCCCCACTTTTTTTTTTTTTTTTTTTTTTTTGAGACGGAGTCTCGCTCTGTTGCCCAGGCTGGAGTGCAATGGCACGATCTCGGCTCACTACAACCTCCACCTCCCAGGTTCATGCCATTCTCTTGCCTCAGCCTCTCGAGTAGCTGGGATTACAGGTGCCCGCCACCACGTCCGGCTAATTTTTGTATTTTTAGTAGAGACGGGGTTTCACCATGTTGGCCAGACTGCTCTCAAACTCCTGACCTCAGGTGATCCACCCGCCTTAGCCTCCCAAAATGCTGGGATTACACGCCTGAGCCACCGCGCCCCCACCCAAGGCCCCACTTTCAAACACAGCCACACTGCGGGGGCTTCAACATAGGAATTTGGGGAGTTCACAAACGTTCAGGCCATAACCAATATTAAAGGTAGAGAATAAATGAAATAATAAAGCTGTACTCAGAGAAGTTTAAAATCCTTCTATTATCACAAGGTATCTGCTGTGCTGCTGCTTAGTCATCACCTCTGTGTAAGGAAGACCCATGGATGTCTTCTCAATCCAGTCAGAGCCAAGGACTTCTCTTCTTCTAAATACATATTCAGAGGTAACAAAACCTACCCTCACATATAACTATTTTAAAGTCACAAAATGCCCAATCTTGAGAGAGAAAAAATAGTGGAAAGTAATTCGTAAGAAAATAAAGCACACTTCAGTAGGTACAGGCTCAGGTACAACTCTACCAGAAGGTACAACGTGGCGGTCAAATCTTTTATCTACTTAACAATAAATAAGTGGGGATCTGACAGAAGATAGTATCAGGGTGGGGATGGAAGTGGCTGCTATCGGGTAACGGTTTACTCTTTGGGATGATGAAAATGTTCTAATGTTTTGGTGGTGGTTGCAAAACTCTGAATATACTAAAACCATTGAATTGTACACTTTAAGTGGGTGAATTGCATAGTATGTAAATTATATCTCAATAAATATGTTAAAAATTAAAAGAAAACAGTATTAAACTGAATATTGTTGGCATTCTTTTCTATGCAGTATTTTGAATGCAGCACAAGAATAGTCATACGTAAAATTGTCCAGTATGCAACCAGAAAAAATAAATGTACACTGATATGTATGTGTTGCCTGGATTGAAATATCAACAGGGATATTGTAGTCCCTGATTTTCTAAGAGTAAACAACTCTTGTTAAGCTTCCAAACAAAAGAGCCATCTTCATTGGACTTACCAGGCAGCTGTATTCTTGAAAAATTCAGACTATTTTAAAACTATACAAACCATATATAAACAACTTAGAGCTGGAATTAGGTTCCAAGCTCCATTCACTGCACACATAATTTCACCTTTGTGTCTGGCAGAACATTTCAAGATCACCAGGAACAATTATTCATTGTATGGGGCTCTTCCAGGCGCTGAGGGACATTTGACATCCTTAGCCCCTGCCCAGGAAATGCCAGCGGCACCTGCCCATCAATAACTCCCCCGCACATTCCCCAAAGCTCCTAAGCTGCAAAAGCAGACCCTGGAGATCACCAGGCCATCTTGTTTAATAGCCTCGGCTCTGTATTCGTCTCTGAAATCAGCTTAGACAGCTACTGTTCCAAAGACCCACAACACGTCTGGCATCCCATGTAAAGATTATCAGTAATACAAATACTAATAATAGCCATTTACATTGTCTCAAAATTAATCCTCGAAATCACACAGACTATCGAGTTACCCTTTAATTTTCTAAGTGGTGCATGGTAATTTAATTGTGCACCTCTGATTAGCCTCCGTTTTGAGCTGTGCAGTTAACTCTCTAAAAAGTTCACTGGAAAACGAAAACCTCAAATCTCTGGCTCTTTCTCATCATTTCAAGTCAAGCCTTTGTTTCCTGGTCCCAAAGCAACCGCTCTTTTGCTTCCAAAGCTGCTCTTAAAACCGAACTAGATTCCCTTTTGGTGTTCCCCTTGGGGAAAGGGGTTGCACAGTAATTTCTCCATGCAATTCTTTGGGTAATGTATTTTAGGAAAGTCACCGTAAATAAAAGACAAACATAGGGATGTCGCCATGCCCTGCGGACTACCATGAAAAGCATCGTCTCCTCCCTGCTGTCCTTCATACGAGGGACTTTTGCCCCCAGTGCTTCCCTTCATGTCACTCTAATTTGGGCCACCAGACCACTGGGGGAAACCAGGTCTTCCTTGAAAAAAAAAAAAAAAAAAAGTTCTCCCTATTCCTCTCTCGTATCCACAACAACAACAAAATAATAAGATTGTTTAATTTTTTTGTTTCTATTACACAATAAAGTTGACCTGTCTTAGGTATATAGTTTTATGAATTTTACACATGTATAGATTTCCATTCCCACCACCACCATCAGGATACAGTTTCATCACCCCGAAAAAAAAATCCCTCCTTCTGTTTATCTTCACAGTCACATCCTTCCTCCACCTCAACCCCCGGGGCAACTACTGATCTAAAGTTTTGCCCTGTAATCCTAGCACTTTGGGAGGCCAAGGTGGGCAGATCACTTGAGGTCAGGAGTTCAAGGCCAGCCTGGCCAACATGGTGAAACTCTGTCTCTACTAAAAATACAAAAATTAGCTGGGTGTGGTAGCGTGTGCCTGTAATCCCAGCTACTCAGGAGGCTGAGGTAGGAGAAACACTTGAAGTCAGGAGATGGAGGTTACAGTGAGCTGAGATCATGCCACTGCACTCCAGCCTGGGAGACAGAGCGAGACTCTAACTCAAAAAAAAAAAAAAAAGAACGTCATATAAATGGAATCTAACAGCATGCAACCTTTGAGACTAGTATTTTGCCCCCAGCATGATGCCTTCAAGATTATTCTCCATGGTTGTATCAATAGTTCTTTCAACTTTTTTGCTGAGCCAGTTTCATTACCTGAATGAATCTGTTTGTCATTTGTCCATTCACTGCTTAAAGACACCTGGGCTGTTTCCACTTTCTGGCAACTATGAATAGGGCTGCTATAAACATCTTACCCAGGTTTTATGTGAACGTAAGTTTTCATCTCTCAAGGTTAAATACCCAGGAGTACAATTGCTGGGTTGTATGGTGGGTGTATGTTTAAAGTTGTAAGAACTGCCAAACTGTTTTCCCAATTGGCTTTCCCATTTTGCATGGGATCACACCACTAGCAACATACAAGAGTTCCAGTGCCTCCACATCCTTTGTCGACACTTGATATTGTCAGTTTTTTATGTTACTAATTATAATAGGTGTGTAGTAATATTGACTGTGGCTCTAATTTGCAATTCTCTAATGCAAATAATACCGACATCTTTGCATCTGCTTATTTGCCATCTGTATATCTTCTTTGGTGAAGTGTCTTTTTAAGTCTTTTCTCCATTTGTAATTGGATTATTTTTCCTTCCTGTTGAGTTTTAAGAGTCCATTTTATTCTAGATACAACAAGAGCTTTGTCAGGTATGTGATTTGAAAATATTTTCTCTCAGTCTGTATTTGTCCTTTGACATTTCATTCTTTTAAGTGTCCTTCACACAGGAAATTTTTCATTTTGATGAAGTCCACTTTATCAATTTGTTGTCTGTTCTCATGTCTATGAACTCTTGCCTAATCCCAACCCACAAATCCCATGTCCTCTTCTAAACGTTTTACAGCTTTATGTTTTACATCTAGATCTATAATCTGTTGAGTTAATTTTTATATAATGTGTTAATCCACTTTTAATTTTTGGCACATGGCTGTCCCACTGTAGGAGTCTACATAAAACAATTTCCTCTTTGATAAAGTAAGTGCTGAAATAATAATAGTCCCAGATGGAACTCACTTTCTGAGGTCATCCTTTCTTTTATGCTTAAAATGCAAAAGTCTCTCTGTGTACAAATACATTTGTACCAAAAAAAAGTGTAAGAACAAGGTGACTAAGAAAAGCTTAAACTTGCAGCCTCTCAAGACTGGGACCCATTTCTACTATACAGGAGCAGAAGGCTGCCTTCCCCAGTGATTTAAATCCAGGCATTACTTGTGAGATCCAAGCAGCCCATGCGGCTTGGAAAACTTGAGAGCTTGCCTTACTTCTCCCCTAAATTCCCTGCCGGCTCCTGAATTCACATGAGGCTGCCAGATATAGAACCTTCACTGCCATTGTATGAGCATGTGGCTCGTTATTTTGTAAGCAACAGATATACTGGGGTTAATAAAATCCAAAAGAACTACCTCAAATAACAGTACAATCTCAGTAGCATTTCACGGACTAAGAAATGTCATGGCTGAGGCTAAAATGACAGCGGACAGATGGAAAAGACCAACAGTGAATGATGGTGATGATGATGACAATGATGTCAATGACGCCTGGCGTGTGTTTTTACCCAAGGCTGGAAGCAGAAGGAAGAGCCTCTGTTCTGGCTCTAGGGGCCCCTTCCTGCACGGAGGTTCTCACGAGCCGAGCTTAGGTACTGGCGTCCAGTCCTCAGCAGCCATCAGCGCAGCACAGCACGGGTGCTAAAGACATCCCCACAACCACAAAAGCGGTGAGGGAACTGAGGAAATGTGTGTGGTGAGTTCTGCAAAGAGCATGAGCTGGAGGGAGAGAGGAGGTGCTGCTGCTGCTGCAGGTACCTCTGCTGGGTCACAAACTGCCCTAGCGCCCAGGGGCCAAAACACCATTTGCTGATGCTCACAGATTCCTCGGTTAGAAATCCAGATGGAACACAGCAAGGCAGGCTCGTCTCTGCTCCACAATAACCGGGGCCTTGGCTGGGAAGGCCGGGACTGCTGGCCACAGCGCCTATACATGGCCTCTCCATGCAGCATGGCGGCCTCACAGCATGGAACCACATTTGTTCCCCCATGACTCAGGTGCCCAGGACAAGGGTTCCAGCAAATGAGGTGGCAGCTGTGTCACCTTCTCTCACTCAGCCTTGGAAGTCACCCGAGGTCACTCGGGCTGTCCCCTATTGGATCCAACAGTCCCAAACAAAGCCACCCAGATTCAAGGACAGAGAACATGGGTCTCACCCCTCAATGCAAGAAATGTCAAAGAATTCTAGAGTCAGATTTTAATACCATGGTTACAGGCCTCAGAAACCCCTGAAGAAACCCTTTGCACGATTTCTAGGAACTGATGGAGATGGTCTAAGACAACCTGTGGCCCCTGGGAACCCTTCTCGGCTGCTAAAAATCTCGGCTGCCCAAAGATTGGGTTGTAAACGTTTTTTAGAGAAGGGGGATCTCTTTATTATCCCCCTTACAACTGTGTAGCAGGCTATTTCTCAAGATTCTGTTTCTGAACAACCTGAAAGGTAAATCAATACCTTCAGCCGACTTTATAACATTTCTCATTATTTTTAAAAATAACTAGTCCAACTAGTTCCAAGGCTGCTATTTTGAGACTTCCGTTAAAATCACCTCCTAGGGTCCACCCGCGCTTCAGCACAACCCCATAACTAATCTGAATCACATCACCTGACTTCTTAGAATCAAACATTAATTAACCGCTTTCATCCCAGGTGGAGGAAGCATGTGAATTGAGTAAACCATCTCTGGTGGCCTTAGGGACATACACCACCCACCCTGTCATCCGTTCAGCAATGCAACCTTAGCACAGGATGGCCCAGGAGCAGGTACTTGCATCACTTGGGAAGGACAAGCTTTAAATTAATAATCACCATAATTATACAAGCAAGAAAAACTCCACCAAGCCACCTTAGCTAAAGCAGTTCCAGCTCCCTGTCTCTCTCTTTCTTCCTCTCTCTCTGCTCCTCTCTTCCTCCCATCTCTCTCTATCCCCCATCACTCCCTCTCTCTCACTTCCCATATAATATGCCCCTTCCCAAGTCAGATGTGGTTCTTTAATTTTTGCTATTATACCTCCACAAAAACCACCTCTGATCAAAATCTTTGCTGCTGTCAGGAAACAGAGGAACAAAGACAAGGTCTCTCATCTGACTTCTGATGCTTTTTCCCCTGTCTAATCCATCCCATGGTAGCGTCCTCCCTGGAAGGGGGACAGGCAGCAGTTTGCGGTCATCTTCAAGCCCAGCTACTGTCCAGCTCCAAGGCAGGTCAGGACACCTTGATGCAGCCAGGCCTCTGTCCCTCCCTCAATGCCTGGCCTAGCACAAGGATAGGTATTTTCTTCTTTCTTAAAAGCCTTCTCAGTTAATATTCCTCTGTGACTTCTTTGGTACTTGTATTCTGACACAAGTCCTCCAGCCTACCAAGGCTTCATTATAAACCATGTCATTGTAAAGAAGGAAAAATTACACTGTGAGTTCTAGCTCAGAATTCCCCCATAGGCTAAGACCTTCTCTCTGCCTTTCATCACTCGATGGCACACACCATTAATTCTCAACACACTGTCTAACCAGGAGTCTGTTGATGGGTAATTTTTTAATAGGGAAATCATTCTCACTATCCACTGGGACAGGAAAGCCAGGTGAAAACTGTGATCAGCACAATAATCCTGAAAGACAACCTTTAAACATATCTATCCAATTATGCTCTTGAATCTAATGGTCTTTACCTTATAAAGACAGGATGTCAGAGTCGGAAAGTCATTTTAGTTCATTAAACCCAGGCATCTTCCCAGGAGAGGATCAGAGACTAAAAGGCATCCCCACATGCAGAACTTTTCAGAAGAGCACCTGTCTCCTGCACCCACCACTGCCGCCCTGTCCACTGTGGTGGTAAAGATCCTTCCTCTCTTCCTGCGCCCCCAACACTGAGAACTTGCAAGCTAGTCACATCCACTCAAGTCACAGATGAAGTGACTGACACCCAGAGAAGCATGACTTGGGCTTCACATGGGACCCTGTGCGCATCACTCCTGTAATCCCAGCACTTTGGGAGGCCAAGGCAGGCGGTTCACCTGAGGTCAGGAGTTCAAAATCAGCCTGGTCAACATGGTGAAACCCTGTCTCTACTGAAAAAAACAATACAAAAATTAGCCGGGCGTGGTGGTGCGCCCCTGTATTCTCAGCAACTCAGGAGGCTGAGGCATGAGAATCGCTTGAAGCTCAGAGGCAGAGGTTGCACTGAGCCGAGATCATCACACCATTGCACTACAGTCTCCTGGGCAACAGAATGAGACTCTGTCTCAAAAAAAAAAAAAAAAAAAAAAGGAAAGGTGAATGGTTACAGCTCTTCCAGACCTACAGGTCATCTACCGCCGAAGTCATCTGCGGAGTGATGGTCACCTATGGAGGCTACTGGTATTGGCTCTTGGTACCAATGAGCCACTGGGTTTCTGTGTGTAACTGCAGTTTATTGTAGGTTTCTACAGCTGAGACTTTTCTACTTTATTCTGTTTCTTGCAAGTGTTTCAGTGGATGAACTTCAATAAGGCTGAGAAGAGTGGCTAAGAGAGCATCTAAATCTACATCCAAATGAGAGAAGACGCTACGAATGTGTGTTAATAAGACAAAAACAGGGCTCACCCAAGGCTTGACATAAAAGACATGCAAAAGGGTGCTATTCATCAATAGCAATTAAAAGCTCTACTATTTATGCATATTCTTTAATAGTTTGCCTTAACTGGGGAGGGAAGGTGCAGAAAAAGGAATTGTTCAATAAGTTAACTTTTTAAATTAAACAGACATATTTATTTGCGCTTGTAAAATAACAAATGTTTGAGAAATTTTTACAATGTTCACTTCCTCCCCGACCCAGCTTATAAAAATGCTTTTTATTAAAACAAGCCAAAGTGAAAACAAGTCTACTGGGCCCATTGATTTCATTCTCCTAGGAAAAAAAAATTATTTCACTAAAACCTAAATATTTCCATTAATGTCCATGACAGAATTGCAAGAACAAACACACAAATAGAGAACCAGTCTGAGGTCACTATTCACAGCACAGCACTGGGTGCAGGCAGCACCTTGGAAGCCTTAACAAAGGAACTCAGAATAGGCCAAAGAGAAATTACACAGTGAGTCTAATGGAGATGAGGTTTTTCTTTTTTTGTTTTTGAGACGGACTCTTGCTCTGTTGCCTAGGCGGGAGTGCAGTGGCATGATCTCAGCTCACTGCAACCTCCGCCTCCTGGGTTCAAGTGATTCTCCTGCCTCACCCTCCCGAGTAACTGGGATTACAGGCGCACACCACCACGCCCAGCTAATTTTTGTACTTTTAGTAGAGATGGGGTTTCTCCATCTTGGCCAGGCTGGTCTCAAACTCCTGAACTCAGGTGATCCGCCCACCCTGGCCTCCCAAAGTGCTGGGATTATAGGTGTGAGCCACTGCGCCTTGCCAGAAACAAGTTTTTCTGATCATACTTTAGCTTCATGAGAGCTTTATCAACTTGAGAGATAAGGAAAAATAGAAGACTAGCACAAATAAAATATGGGTAGAAAAATTCAGATATCTTTTGAGCCCAATAACTTCTTCAAATAAAGGTTTAAGGACACACCATAATGCCTGGCATATTACAGGCACCTAGTAAATATCTGGTGGATGAGGATAACTTTGAGGCTTACCTTTTTTTTTTTTTTTTAAGGGACAGGGTTTCACTTTGATACCCAGGCTGGAGTGCAGTGGCATGATCATAGCTCACTACCACCTCGAATTCCTAGACTCAAGCAATCCTCTTGCCTCAGCCTCCCGAGTAGCTGGGACCACAGGTGTGTGCCACCATGCCTAGCTAATTTTTTTTTTTTTGGTAGAGATGGGGTGTATTAGTATTTTCTCACGCTGCTAATAAAGACATACTGGAGACTGGGTAATTTATAAATGCAAAAGTTTTCATTGACTCACCTTTCACATAGCTTTCTCTCTCTCCCCCACTCCCTACACGGCCTCCCCGCTTTCTCTCTCTCTCTCTCCCCAACACCCCGCAAGGCCTCCCCACCCCAGCTCCCCACAGGGCCTCCCCGCTTTCTCTCTCCCCCACTCCCGCTTTCTTTCCTTCCTCCCCTTCTTCTTTTGTTAAATATCGTCTTTCTTTAAGGCTCACACTAGGAAGCGCTGGTGTTGCAGAAACACGGGAAGGCAGGAAATGAGTTTGGGAACAAATAAGTAAATAAAATCTGGGGAAAGCACACATCTAAAGCACTCTTCACCCTTCACAGTTTATCTGGGGAAACTTCATATTTCAAACGTATTTTGTGAAGTGGGCCTGACAAAGCAGACACACACACCGGATGTGCTACGCGACGGCTCTTCCCCTGCCTCCGACAACAGGGAGTTCATCTCAGGACACGACAACTCATTGCTGACGATGGGAGCAACATGATGGTCTATCAAGAGGAAAAAGGCAAGCGTCATCCACAGCCGGCCTGGCCGCTGACAGCCAGGCACCGTCACATCCACCTGGCCTGGAGAACCAGGCTCAGAAACCCACCGTGCAGCCTCCGAGAGGCCACCCCCTCCACCTTCCCAGTGACACAGCCAAAGCCACCACCAGGAGCCTGATGCTCAGACACACAGTTCGGCCTGCTGTGTGCTGCCTTCCGTGTCTAAGAGGCTGCCTCTTCATCAGCTCCCCATCACAGCTAACGAAACCTCTTTGGAATTAGCTCCCAATCCTTAACTGTACCAAAATGGAACAATACAGGAAACGAGAAGTGTCATTAAACGGGGACTAGAACACTGTGTCCCTGAGTCCCACAACCAGGACCACAACAGAGTGTTTGTTCCTAAAGGTTCCTGATCATACTCAGACCTTATAAGTGAGCTGCTCATTAAAAGCGGGACCTGTCACCGATACAGACATTAACTAAAGCATTATTCCATGAGAGGCAGGGTAAAAGGATTTCCGTGGCTCTTGACAAACCCACTAACGCAGACCCGGCCCAGTGTCCCAGCGCTCTTCCTCTGACTTGCCGTTTCCCACTGTCTGCAATTGTAACTCGAGTGCTTTGGGCTGCCTTGCGGAACTCAGCTTCATTTGTTAACCTCCCTACGGAGCTGAGGCCTGCACTGCATCAGAGACAAGCGTGAAGTTCCAGGACGACAGGAATAAAACCTAGAACCTGCCATCCAGGAGTTTACCAGGGAAATGATCACAGAAATTAACACCTGAAACAGGCCTGACACAGCCAGACAGAAGCTAGGGAGGAATTGAGGCGGGAGCATAAATCACCAGGATGCTTTAATGTTCAAAAGAAGCCGGAGGGGGGAAAAGGAATCTATTTGGGGATTTAGGCAAAGTTTGGGAGAAACTGATCTTTTTCTATAGTGGTCAAATTCATAGAAAGAGAAAACAGAACGGTGGTTGCCCAGAGAAGGGGGTAAGGACTGGGAACCACGTTCAACATGTAGAGAGTTTCCAATGGGGGAGAGGAAAGCACTCCGGCCCATGGTGATGGCTGCACGACAACGTGAATATAATTAATGCCACCAAACTGTACAGTTAAAACTGGTCCACATTGCAAATTGTATGTTATGTCTATTTGACAATTTTTAAAATCCAAACAAAAACCATGACCCAACTTCTTACAATCCAACTATATCACACTATCTTAGGAGGCATCAAATGCAGACGCAGCTCACCGGTATAATCTATAGAACAGCATTACTTGGTGACCCCAACTGCTACTTGCTTCTGGAGTAAGCCTGCACCCCCGGTTGCTATGGAGAATCTGCAGACCACCACAATTAAAACGTCCAATAAATTTCTCTTTCTCAAAAAAGTAACACCTTAAAAGATATTCAGAAACAGAAACAGAAACACACACACACACACACACACACACACACACACACACAACCATATACATAAATTGCACAGAACACTTCATATTAACTTAGAAAAGAAATCCATCCTGCTCTGTTGTATAGGATTGGTGACGTCCTCTAAATGAGCCAAAATCCAATCCACATCAGAAATAACACTTTCTGTATCTCAGGCAAAAGACACTACATTCTGTGGACTGTAACGTAACAAAGGATTAAATCTGAAAGCAACTGGCCAAGCGTTCTCACAATGGCCTTCTAACCTAATTGTTTTAGTTATTAAATCTATCCTCAAAATATTTTTGTCACTAATACCATATGGCATGATGTATAACTAAGGCCCTTCCAATAGACTCAGCCACTAAAAAGAAAAAAAAAGAAAATACCTCAAAGGAAGGACAAACACTTCTTTAACAAATATTTTACTGGCTAGTACAAAGTATCAGGCAGCACAGAAAAACTGAAGTACTTAATATTTCCACCCATCTTAACTCAGTTCCAACAGTTTTTAAAATCTTAAATCATTTGTAAATTAAATATTGCCTTGAAGTAATAAAACGCTGTAAAATATGTTAATTGAGTCATAAAAGCCTACTTTCCTGCATAATTATGTTTTACTTTTCTCCTCACTGATTTCTTTACACTAGAATTAGCTAGGATTCTCTCTGGATACAATAGTAATACTTGGCTCCTGCAAGAGTTTTACAGATAGTAAAAGCCCACAGCTGACCGCAAAATTTCTAGACTGGCTTGCCTAAGAAAATCAACACTCATGGGTCTTCATGGCAGAGCCACACCACCAAACTTCAAGGCAACTTTTGGAGAATGTTTTATTTATCTTGCATCATATGAGCAAATTAAAATGAGGCAGAAGAATGAAGAATCACTGGAAATGAGATGTAATGAGATATCAGGATAAGGCTGGGCACAGTGGCTCAAACCTGTAACTCCAGCACTTGGGAAGGCTGAGGCGGGAGGATCACTGAGCTCAGGAGTTCAAGGATGCAGTGAGCTATGATCATGCCACTGCATTACAGCCTAGGTGACACAGGGAGACCCTGTCTCAATCAATCAATCAATCAATCAATCAATCAATCAGAGAGATCCGGATAGTGAATGACTAGGGAACTAACATTGGGGGAACTGAGGGAGTAATCAAATGAAAAATGTAACAAATTTATGAGAAGGTTAACAGGGAAAGGCCACTGAGTTTCACACTAAGAGAACTGCTGGAGACCAGAACATGCAATTTTAGCAGAACAGCTGAGAGAAAACTGAGGATCAGGAATAAAGTGCGTGAAGACAGAACAGAGACAGAGGGTATTCAATGAGAAAAACTCAGAGAACCAAGCCAGGCAACGTACCATTAGACCCAACTATTTACAGTATCAACTGTTGGAGTACTTTCTGTCACCAGTAAGATTTAACCCAATGAAAAGAATAAAATAGCCCATTTCTTTTCATTGATATGATGCACCATGACTTACTGTGTGCACTGACTTAATATGTACAGTGATTTAATGAGGGAGTGTCTCTATTCCTGAGAGAATCTTTCATAAAACTGTGGTTTAGATGAAAGCTTACAAGGATGCAAAATGCCATGGTAGTCAAATGTCCTACTAAACGTATGGATATCTGTTCAAAGCCGCTGCTATTAGGCCCAAAGATAGAAAACGTAGGCTGCTCCCCTGCATGAGGACAGGGTTTCTTTGCAAGAGCATCATTTCATTCTATTCCAAGGTTCCACCTTGATATGGTTTGGATCTGTGTCCCCACCCAAATTTCATGTACAATTGTAATCCTCAGTGTTGAAGGCAGAGCCCAGTGAGAAGTGACTGGATCGTGCAGGCAGTTTCTAATGGTTTAACGCCATCCTCCTTGGTCTTGTCATGGTAAAAGTGAGTTATCATGAGATCTGGTTGTTTAAAAGTGTGCGGCACCTCCCCCTTCTCTCTCTTCCTCTTTCTCCAGCCCACGTAAGACATGCCTGCTTCCCCTTCGCCTTCCACCATGATTGTAAGTTTCCTGAGTCCTCCCAAGCCATGCTTCCTGTACATCCTGTGGAATCGTGAGCCAATTACACCTCTTTTCTTTATAAATTACCCAGTCCTGGGTATTTCTTTGTAGCAGTGTGAGAATGGATAATAACACAGGCACCCAAGACCATAAGAGCTCCTGTTCCATCTTCTATCAGGCCCTCTGTACCTGCCCTGGAATCAACTGAAGACGAAAATGGCAGATTCAGTCTATAACACTTGGACCACAATGAGTCATGTTTCCAGTTCAATTCAAATTAATCTTCAAATACTTTCTGGAGCACCAATCCTTGCCAGCCTGGCCCCCAAAACACAGCTTGTCCTCACCTCACAGCAAACTCTGCTGCACATCTGCTAACTCAGAGCTTTTCACTGAGGTCTTTAACACTTTGATGTCTCCACTATCCATGCTAACCCAGCCCTCCACACATGTGACCTCCTAAACCAAACCAACAGCTCTCATTGTCTTCCACGGTACAGAAATGACAGTAGCTAAGGGGAAAAATAACAATAAGTTGCCTTGTCCTGCTCTGGGCTAACCAGTGAGGAAATTCACCAAGAGGGAAAATCAATTCATCTCACACAGACCACATTTGCCCTAAGAGAATCACTTCTGCCATACCTCAAAAAATAAGTAAAATGTGCATGAACTTCACTGGAATTACAATTGACCCTGTAAAACTGAAATTCTAGTTTTTCCACTGAATCCCCCAAAAGTCAAATATCTGCATATAAATTTTGACTCCCCCAAAATTTAACTACCAAAACACTACTGTTGACCTGAAGCCTTACTGATAGCAGTTGATGAACACATATTTTGTATGTTCTATGTATTATGTGCGGTACTCTTATCGTCAAGTATGCTAGAGAAAAGAAAATGCTATTAAGAAAATCATAAGGAAGCAAAAATATATTTAGTATTCATTAAGCGGAAGTGGATCATCATAAAGGTCTTCACCCTTATCATCTTCACACTACATAGGTGAGGAGGAGTAGGAAGCGGAGTTGGTCTTGCTGTCTCAGGGGTGGCAGAAGCAGAAGAAAACCCATGTATAAATGACTCACGTATAAATGACTCACGTAGTTCAAACTCGTGTTGTTCAAGGGTTAACTGAAGTTGTTTTCAAGATGCTCACATCTTCTTCTAAGTCTGCTCCATCCCCATTCCCCAGCGGACACATCCTCCCTAAGTCAGTCCTGCATGCAGTCTGCACTCTTCCCAGGTTATTTTGTCTCTCAATGTTACAACCAACAGGCTCTTCAGGGTAATGTCTGCTGTTCAGGTACAGGACGCTTGCTTAATTTCAAATCTTCTATTTAAAACTGAATTGGCGGCCAGGCACAGCGGCTCACACCTGTAATCCTACCACTTTGGGAGGCTGAGGTGGGCAGATCATCTGAGGTCAGGAGTTCGAGACCAGCCTGGCCAACACGGCAAAACCCCGTCTCTACTAAAAATACAAAAATTAGCCAGGCATGATGACAGGTACCTGTAGTCCCAGCTACTCAGGAGGCTGAGGCAGAAGAATCACTTGAACCCGGGAGGCGGAGGTTGCAGTGAGCAGAGATCACGCCACTGCACTCCAGCTTAGGCAACAAAGCGAGACTCCATCTCGATGAATAAATAAATAAATGAATAAATAAATAAATATTGGCTTTTTAATGAAAACAAATAAGTTTCGATAAAACTGAATTGGCTTTTTGCTTCACACTTACTCAAATCAATTCCACACAAAGGAGTTGGATGCTTTGTAACTTCTCTTTAGGGCAAAAATAAATGGATATGTTCTTAACATCAGAAAAATGCTAAGAGCTGAAGATACTTCTTTTCTTCCTATTTTGAAACAACTATAATTTGACTTCGGAATAAAATTTCTTTCATCAGAAATGTATGTTTTGATAGGTGCACTGCATAGGATTCTAATAGCTCTAAAATCTGCTTCAATTCAGAGCTGTGATCTTCATCACCCCTAAGCCTTATATCTTACTCTCCACAAATTAGACTGCATCCTTAAAAGGCATCCGCTGACAGATTTCACAGGGACTGAAGTGGGCTGGGAACTGCATTCCATGGCATCTGAGCTTCCCTTAGACAGGCCAACTTCGTCATTCAGAGCAAGCACTGAATAAATCTCCTCCAACTTACATGAATGTAACCCACTTCATGACTGTCAGAGGGAAGAAATAAGCCTTTGAGAATCCTCTGTTCTAACAGGGCTCCCCTCATGATAATGCCTAGACCGGTGGCCAGAGTTCCCACAGCCGAGGCTCCAGGTACAGATGCTAAATGCTGGCCCAGAGGGTCAGCAGGATGAGCTAGTTTCTAAGTGAAAGACTCTCATTACGCAAATGAGTGCTTAGGGCCTTAACACTAACCAATTCACACAGGTCTGACGGGGCATGAGTGTGCAAGTGAAAGCCATGCAGGTTCCTGAGACAGCCACAGTCGGTGGGGATCCATCAGGGGCCGGCCTCAATCCCAGCATTTTGGGATTTGTTACGCTTGTATGTTCTATGCATTATGTACAGTATTCTTACCAACAAGTAAGCTAGAGAAAAGACATGCTATTCAGAAAATCAAAAGGAAGCGAAAATATATTTAGCATTCATTCAGTGGAAGCGGATGATCGTAAAGGTCTTCATCCTCTCATCTTCATGCTGAGTAGGTGAGGAGGAGGAGGAGGAGTTGGTCTTGCTGTCTCGTGGGTGGCAGAGGCAAAGAAAAGCCACGTATAAGTGACTCACACACTTCAAATTCGTGTTGTTCAAGGGTCAACTGTAGTTGTTTTTAAGATGCTTCACATCTGCTTCTAAGTCTGCTCCATCCCCATTCCCCAGCTAACACAACCTTTCTAAGTCAGTCCTGCATGCACTCTGCACTCTTCCCAGGTTATTTTGTCTCTCAATGTTACAACCAACAGGCTCAAGCAAAGCAGGAGGATGGCTTGAGCCCAGGAAGTGGAGGCTGCAGTGAGCCATGATGATCCTGCCAAAGCACTCCAGCCCGGGCAACAGAACAAGAACCTATCTCAAAAAAAAAAAAAAAAAAAAATACTGCAAAACAATAGCTTCTGAGTATCACTAGATGAGGTGTCACGTCCTTAGGAGCCCGTCTGTGACCTCAGCTTGAAGAGAGCAGATGGGAGCACACTGCCAACCAGTGCGAGGTCCCAGCAGTCATTGACTTAAAAAAAAAAAAAAAAAGCTAGAAAATTAACAAACAAAGTAACTGGGACAGAAACTGCAGGGATTCTTTGGGGTACACAGAAACTAAAGGCATGTCTGGGGAAGAGCATGACTTGATTTAACAATCACTCCAGCTGAAAAACAAAGCCCATGCAGATAACCAGGAGCACTCTATAGAACCAAATGCCAGTTTCAAAGCACCCAGGACAGAACAAGCTCATCTTTTCTGCAGCGTGAAATGTGAAGCAGCAGAGGGCACCTCCATGTTTTCTACTCCTAATATGTCTCTACAGAAAAGCCATTACAAAGAGTACTCCAGTATTAGCATGGAATCAATTCACCTAAGGCAATCAGTGAACTTCCTCGGGCCTCATGGCCATCCAAGCTCGTATCAGGGGCAGAGCGGGAACGTTCCTGTTGTGGACACTAAGGATTAGTGCTCACTTGACTGGACATCTGAAAATGCAAAATATGGGGCAGCTACAGCTATTCAGTAACACAAAGCCATTTTCACCACCACAGTCAAACCCAAACCTACTACATTTAAATCTAACGTTCATTCTGGTTCTACTAAGGGAAGAGAAATGCAAATTTTCCGTTCCCAAGACATCATTTAAAATATAAAAAGTATTCCTTTTTCTTGTTTTGCTTTTGTTTGGAGAGGAAGAGGGGTGCTGATCTAATTTTGGTTTTTATTCATTCAACAAATTTTTGAGGAGATAGAAGAAGATACATTGCATTTAACTTCCCCTAGAAGGGTATTTTTTAAATCCATTTTTGGCTCCACGTTGTAGAAATCATTTCGTAAACAAAGACCCTCTTTAAATACCAGAGCTTGGCAATTATTCTACACACACATGTGCAGAATTATCTTTTACAGACACATACTAAAATATTTACAGATGAAATGAAATGATGTCTAAGAGTTCCTTCAAAGCAATAGAGTCTGGAAAACGAGGGTGGTAATATTGATTAAACAAGGATGGCTTTGAACAGCTCATGGCTGAAGTCGGGTAACGAGCATATGAAGTTCACTATATATTCTGTCTACTATTGGTTATGTTTGAGTTTCCCATAATAAAAAGTTTTCAAAGCAGAATGGAGGGGCATTTTGCCATTCTTTTAGCAAAAGGAAAGGTGCCAACCAGAGCAAATAGTTATTTGAGCTCCAGTTTTTAGTTGAGTGTGCCAATGAAGAGTTGAGAAGTTGAAGACCTTCATTAATTCCTTTTTCCTTCTTAAATCTACTTGGTCCGCAGCTCACTGCCTCATTAAAAAAAAAAAAAAAAAGTTACCATGTGTTCATTGTGAAGGCTCCAAGGTCTCCAAGTGAAACAACCCAAATACCAGCGAATTGGATAGTACTAAAGAGAACTCCAGTATATATGTGTCTGTTATGACAAGCAAACAGGGATATTACGTGAGTTTAGAGCACATTTATTGACCTACTGCCAATATGTTAAGCACACATAAGCATACATGCCTGTGCAAATTTGACTCGTAAACTGAATGGATGGGGGAACCAGAATATCCTTCTAGAAGGGACGGAGAGCCTACAGAATTTAGGAATTGCACTGGAGTGAGTCTTTTTTTTTTTTTTTTTTTTTTTTTTTTTTGAGACAGAGTCTCGCTCTGTCGCCCAGGCTGGAGTGCAGTGGTGCAATCTCGGCTCACTGCAAACTCCGCCTCCCGGGTTCATGCCATTCTCCTGCCTCAGCCTCCCGAGCAGCTGGGACTACAGGCACCCGCCACCGCGCCCAGCTAATATTTTTGAATTTTTAATAGAGACAGGGTTTCACCATGGTCTCGATCTCCTGACTTTGTGATCCGCCCGCCTCTGCCTCCCAAAGTGCTGGGATTACAGGCGTGAGCCACCACGCCCGGCCTGGAGTGAGTCTTTCAATCACCAAAGGAAGTTTATTTACCTAACTCCATTATTAAAAAATATAATCACTCGTGTCCATATTTCCTTTGTTTTACCCAAAACTATCAGGAAACAACTGGGAAATGAGCCAAAACATAAACCACTTTGATTCAAAAATTGTCGAAAGCAATGTTACTAACATTTCCACATCTTTTGAAGAATTTTATTAGATTTTTTTGTGGGGAGAAGGAGGAGATACATATGTGTCAGGGTGTCAGAGTAATTTGATGTACAGATAATTTTGTCACCCAGATAATTAGCCTAGTACCTGATAGGTAGTTTTTTAATCCTTACTTTCTTTCCACCATCCACTCTCAAGTAGGCCCCCGTGTCTATGATTCCCATCTTTATGTCCATTTGTACTCACTATTTAGTTCCCACTTCTAAGTGAGAGCATGCAGCATCTGGTTTTCTGTTCCTGCATTAGTTTGCTTAGGATGGCCTCCAGGGACATACATCCATGTTGCTGCAAAGGACATGATCTTGCTTTTTTTTTTTAATGGCTGCGTAGTATTCCATGGTGTATGTGTAACACATTTCCTTTATCCAGTCTGCTGTTGATGGGCATTGAGGTTGATTCCATGCCTTTGCTATTATGAATAGTGCTGTGGTGAACACACACGTGCATGTGTCTTTAAGGTAGAATGATTTCTATTCCTTTGGGTATTGCCCATAAGGGACTGTTGAGTTGAATGGTAGTTCTAACTTAAGTGCTTTCAGAAATCTCCAGAGTGCTTTCCACAGTGGCTGAACTAAGTTACATTCCCACCAGCAGTGTTTAAGCATTCTCTTTTCTCCACAACCTCGCCAGCATCTGTTATTTTGTGAATTTCTTAGAATAGCCACTCTGACTGGTGTGAGATGGTGTCTCGTTGTGGTTTTGATTTGCATTTCCCTAATAATTAATGATATTGAGCATTTTTCCATATGCTTGTTGGCCATGTGTATGTTTTCTTTCAAGAAGTGTCTATTCATGTCCTTTGCCCATTTTTTTAGAAGCCTTTCTACACAAGAAAACCATACTGATGTTGGTGGAATAAGGTGATGGTTCTAACTTAGAAGCAAACCGTTAAGACCATGGGGACTTTGGGTTTGAGGGGGCAGAAAATGTGACGTTATCACTACAACATCTTCAATGGCTGTTCTGTTCCTCCAAGAATCTTGGCATGGTTGTTGGATAACATCTCCTGAGAGTTTAGATGAGATGAGAAGAGAAAATATTCATCCCTAATATTATTCTCTTCCACTGGCCCAAAGATCATAGGCCAATTCACAATTATTCATATGCTCTGAAAGATACCACAGTAAGCTATAATTTGACTGAAGTAGTCAGGGGCTTTTTCGTGCCTTCCTGGTTTAATCTCTTGTCCTATTTGTGCATGCACAAGTCAGCTTCCTAGGGGAAGAGAGGAAATATTTTTTCTGTCTTTTCATATCCCTAACACTGAAGTATTAGGCATTTTTGCATTTCATGGGTTAGGAAGGTGAGTTCCGTGTGGGTGGACAACTGATATGGTTTGGCTGTGTCCCCAACCAAATCTCACCTAAAATTATGATAATCCCCATGTGTCAAGGGTGGGGCCAGGTGGAGACCATTGAATCATGGGGGCAGTTCTCCTCATACTGGTATCCTGATAGTGAGTAAGTCTCACAAGATCTGATGGTTTTATAAAGGGAAGTTGCCCTGCACAAGCTCTCTTGCCTGCCACCATGTAAGACGTGCCTTTCTCCTCCTTTGCCTTCTGCCATAATTGTGAGGCTTCCCCAGCTATGTGGAATTGTGAGTCCATTAAACCCTTTTTTTCTATATATATTATCCAGTCTTGGATATGTCTTTATTAGCAGCATGAGAACTGACTAATACAACCACCATGCAAGAAGAGAGGGAATCAAGAAAGTTCTCATTTGGCTGTTCTGTCTATAATTTATCCCTATTTTTTAAGAGCTATGGGCCAGGCGCGGTGGCTCATGCCTGTAATCCCAGCACTTTGGGAGGCCAAGAAGGGTGGATCATGAGGTCAGGAGATCGAGACCACAGTGAAAACCTGTCCCTACTAAAAATACACACAAAAAAATTAGCCGGGCACAGTGGCGGGTGCCTGTAGTCCCAGCTACTTGGGAGGCTGAGGCAAGAGAATGGTGTGAACCCAGGAGACGGAGCTTGCAGTGAGCCGAGATTGCGCCACTGCACTCCAGCCTGGGCGACAGAGCGAGACTCTGTCTCAAAAAAAAAAAAAAAAAAAAAAGAGCTGTGGCACATGGATAAAGATGATACAAGAGAGTTGTAATGTGATTTCAGGCAATCAGGAGAAAAAGGAGACAAACAAGGAAAGTGAAAGAACCCTGACAGGGCTTCACAGAGAGATGGAGCCAGGAACCTCCGTGGAGGGAACAGAAACCACCACAGAATCAGAAAGCTGAATGGCTTCCCTGGGGTCTGCAAGTGAGACACCTTAGAAGGTGCCAGGGCTTATAAAAGACAAATTCCATGTCCCAGACCTTGTAGCTTCAAACGACCTCTCTAGATGTCATGATGTCCCTTCAAGACCATTCTAAATACATAATTATCTCCTACAGAAATAAGAAAATTACAGTTTAATAAACTAATAACTACAAAAATATTTATTTTTACTTGTTGTTTTGAGACAGAGTCTAGCTCTGTCACCCAGGCTAGAGTGCAGTGGCAGGATCTCCACTCACTGCAACCTCTGCCTCACAGGTTAAAGCAATTCTCCTGCCTCAGCCTCCCAAGTAGCTGGGATTACAGGCATGTGCCACCACACCCGGCTAATTTTTGTATTTTTAGTAAAGACGGGGTTTTGCCATGTTGGTCAGGCTGGTCTCGAACTCCTGACCTCGTGATCTACCCACCTTGGCCTCCCAAAATGCTGGGATTACAAGCGTGAGCCACCGTGCCCAGCCCAAATATCTTTTTTACATTCTTCATTCTATGGCCAAGTCTACAACTACAGAAGAGTTGGAGTATCAACAAGCTGCCTAGCAGCAAATAGCCACAAACACAGAAGTGTGTCCTTCCCTTCTCCCCAGACCCATCAACAGATGGTCTTAACCGAGTGTTCTAGAATCTCCTGCATAAATGGCATTCACCCTTCCTCCATGTCTTCACAGCGACACAGACACTAGCTGGAACGGAAATCCTCTGGGAGGCAAAACTTCCACTTCAACATTCCACTTCGAGTGCCAAGAACAGTCCCTGACTCTGGAATAACGGGTCACTGCTATTTCGCAGAGCACTCGGTTGCTACCATGTGTAGGACAAAAATAAAAGCACTGAACACCTTAACTCTGTCGCCCTCACCCCCCCGAAATTCCCTCATTCTTCCTTGCTTCAAGATTAACGTCCAAGCAGCAGAAGCTACTGGCCTAATTTTGAGCCTGACATTTGACTATATGCATCCTATAATACACACTGTATAATTTTTGCTCTTATCCCCTTGTGCAAAGTGATTGAATCGAAACATTTTAATCACCAGCCTTTTAAAATAATCTGTTGTGTTTTGTTTTACTTCTAGACACTTGTAGGATCTTTCTGACCCCGGTGTTCTAACATTTTATGATGCTGTGTCTTGGTGATTGCTTGCATTCATCTTAAACAGTAAAAACCAGATTGAAACAGAGGACATGAAACAGAGGATGTGAGCAAGACACGGGTAATTTTTAAAACAAACCTTTTAGAACCGTCTCTTACAAATGTTGTGTACAGGTAACATCCATCTCTTTAAACGTTAATGCAAGGAAAAGTGCATCCCCTATTCCATCAACAGCAAAGATCACGTGTTAAAAATCTACACTGGTGTATCAACTATAGACAATACATTTTGACTCCCAAATGAAGGAAAAAAAATACCATTCTCTTTTACATTTTAACACTCTTACATTTTCCCTTAGATGTTTTCCAAAGATGAACTAGTTATCTTTAAAAATTTTTTGTAGGCTGGGCAAGGTGGTGCACGCCTGTAATCCCAGCACTTTGGGAGGCCGAGATAGGAGGATCACTTGAGGTCAAGAGTTCGAGACCAGCCTGGCCAACATGGTGAAACCTCCTTCTCTATTAAAGATACAAAAAAAAAAAAAAAAAAAATTGGCCGGGCATGGTGGCAGGCGCCTGTAATCCCAGCTACTCAGGAGGCTGAGTGAGGCAGGAGAATTGCTTGAACCCAGGAGGTGGAGGTTACAGTAAGCCGAGATTGTGCCACTGCGCTCCAGCCTGGGCGACAAAACCAGACTCTGTCTCAAAACAAAACAAAACAAAACAAAACAAAACAAAACAAAAATGTGTAGCTAAATGAGTTGTGACAGAGACTAACTGTCCCCCAGGGCTTTTTTCCCTCCCTTCTTTGTTGTAGGAAAAGCAGCCTCCCCATCCCAGGGATTTTAGCAAGGAGGAGCCCCACAGCTAGGGAGTACCTTTCCCAGTCTCTTTGTAACTAGGTAGGGCCTGGTGGAATCCCAGGAGACCGAGTTTTGCTAGTGGGAGGTGAGCTGCTGTCCCCAGCCTCTCCCTTTCCCTCTTTCTTGCTGGGCAACCTGGAGGAGAACCAGCCTTCCACCATGCAGACATGGAATTTGGAAGAAAGAGCAGTAAACTTCTAAATTAACTTGAGCCACAGCATTTTAGGGCCTTTTGGGAACAGCAGTTGTAATCCTAACACATAAACCACACCATCAAAGCCCTCACATCAGCTGGAAGCAAAAATCCCTCAGGAAAAGGGGAAATTTTGAGAAAGAAAAGTAGAGAATCCATGAAGAAAGGATAAAAGGGACCATGAAATTTAGAAGGAGAAAAGAAACCCGCAAAAATGACCAAATCTCTTTGTTTTTAAAAAACACTTAAAAATCTTTATAGTGTTTGAACATAGTATTCACATGTAGGTAGCGTAGAAAGATGCCCCTCTAAATGGAAAACAGCTTCTTTTGTTAGCAGAAAGAGGAGATAAATTGGGAAACTAAGCAGGCAAGCATCTCAAAAAAAATTAAATTTGATCTAAACATACTGTACTTTGATGAGGAAGGGCCACGGCCAATTATGGTAATAGAATTTTTAATTGACACTTATTTGCTGGTTAGTTATTCATGTCAACATTCACCCTGCAGAATCCTTCATAGAAATTCACCCAAGAAGGGCACATAAATACATACACTTAACTGAAAAAACCATTAACGGTACTTACAAATCTAAAGATCCATTTGGGATCTAAAATTAATTTTGATGGGCTAACAAATTGCACATTAGATGTAGAGATGAAAAATGTAAAGTACATACTGCTTTCTTCATTTCACAAAACAAATCTAATGAAACATTACTCCAAATAACAGTACACCCGGCATATAAATCATCATCATCCCTTCATCTCTACGAGTCAATCAAACATTTGAACAAGAAAAGAAGTTCTAAAAACATTTTATTTTCTTTGGAGCTTTTCAAAGGGTTTGGGTTGGTTTATGTTTGAGGGTGGTGGGAGAGGTTCGTGTGGGATCGGGGAGTTGTTTCATTTCGTGACGGTCTCGAAGAAGTTTTGAGACATCCTTTTCTAAGAAATATGTTGAACAGAAGCTGATGGCTTGACATCACTCTCTACTACAAAAAAATAATCACAGATGGTTTTAATGGCTATAACTTGCTCCTATAATCCATGATGGGCTTTGGGGGGCTCTTCATAACTACTGTGTAAATATGTCATTAAGGGCTTTTCAAAAAATTGACATTGTTTAATCAACTCTACTTAACAGCTCTGTTAGTTGAGAAGAGATCATCAGAAAAATAATTAGGAAAACCTTCAAAATCATACTAATCTTCAATTCTTTGATACTTCCTCTGATTAAATCTCCTTGGAAATACAGGTTGGCTACTGTAAACTCTTGCTGCATAACCTAAGAACATTTTAAAAGACAAACATTTAAGCCTCATGTTGTATAATCATTCTATCTTCTGTTGGATGTAACCAGATTTGTGTTCATCTTCAGAAAGCAGGCAGATTTTTTTTAAAAACTGCTTCCTATCCATCCTTTTTGAGAGAAAGGCAACTTCTCCAATACAAACGCTGTTTGGCTTGGATATAAGCTCTTTGGCACATTTCAGTTTCCGTGAATGGCAGGGAACCTGCCACGGTCATTTCTGCAGCCTCAGGCTCTCAGGGTGTTCAAGTCCTCAGAAGTGGTAAGTTCCATGTCTTGTCACCACCATGACAAGGATGAGACCTCCAAAAAGGACATTTGGATGAGAAATGGAGAGAGTCCTGGTCACAGAGATCCCAGGTCAAGGATGGTCACCCACCCATTCTCCACCTCTCTGACTCCGCTTTCCTTCTCACTCCCAGGTCTCATGAATCTGTGACAAACCTCCCTATCCATTTTTAAATCCCCTCTCTTGAAATCACAAGAATCACAGACCTCTTCCATAATCCCAGAGATCATAAATGTGAAAATGATCTAAAACAAAATGACCCGGCATCAATCAAACCTGTTCTGCTCGATCTCCAAATGGTGTGGAATGGCACGTGTGATGGAATGCTCAGCACAGACTGCCCAACTCTACAGCCCCCAGGAATTTCATCCCAACACAGTCTCAGGCTTGGTTCAGAACCACCATGTCAAACTTAAGGTGGACAGAACACCCTGTGGGCAGGACAGGATGCAGTTTGGATCCTCTCACTTTCAAGCCCTGACTCTTTTTTCTTTTCTTTTCTTTTTTTTTTTTTTTTTTTTTTTTTTGCGGGGGGGAGACGGAGTTTTGCTCTTGTCTCCCAGGCTGGAGTGCAGTGGCATGATCTCAGTTCACTGCAACCTCCACCTCCCAGGTTCATGCAATTCTCCTGCCTCAGCCTCTCGACTAGCTAGGATTACAGGTGCCCGCCACCACACCCAGCTAATTTTTTGTATTTTTAATGGAGACGGGGTTTTGCCATATTGGGCAGGCTGGTCTCAAACTCCTGACCTAGGGTGATCTGCCTGTCTCGGCCTCCCAAAGTGCTGGGATTACAGGTGTGAGCCACCGTGCCCGGCCCTCAATCCCTGACTCTTTTATCCACCTCTTGCCTTCCTAAGACCCTCAGCATGAGACCACAAATGTCTGTCCCCTGTCCATCACCAACTGAGGACAGTGGGATTTCAAGGACAGTATTTGATGGACTGAAGATGCCGATGCAAAAATCTTCCAGTGTCTAGGATGTCCCTATGGGAAGCCAACTCTCAAAGAGGCAATAAGGCTACGTCAGCACCTCATAGGCGCATGCTGACATTAAAGAAGCCACTCAGACCCACACACCAGCTCCCTCTCCAAGCTTGCTTCATTCAGGGCCCCGGGAGGCACTGCCCACAGCCCCACTCCACAGCCTTCTTCCCATCGTGTTCGTGGCTAGGTCATGGTGGCAAAGTCAACCTTGATCCTTCCTAGTAAGTTTCCCAGCCTCCTGCCCAATCGTGTCTTAGTTCCTAGATTTTTTTTTTTTCCATGGGGTCCATCCCGCTGATGGGGTCTTGTCCATCCTGCTGATGGGGTCTTGTCTGTTCTGGCCAGTCCCAATCACGAGGTCTGGGGCATGCAACCTGAATTGTCCATCCGGAGGCACCATCCACACGCTGGGACATTAACACTTCATCTTAGAAAATTAGAAAATCGATAGCAAAAGATATCTGAACTACCAGGTGTGACCCCACCCAGCCACTCTTCCGGGCCAGCCTTATTCTGCACCCATGACGGCTCCAGCTTCTGTCCTCTCCCACGCTTTAGTGCCATCTTGCTTCCTCCTAATAAATGTCTTCCCAAAGTGGCCATGAACTGGCCACGACAGCTCGCTACATCTTGAAATACAAATATGTTTAATTTTTGTGTAGCTTGTCATTGCTCCAGGCTCACTGTGTTGGTTTACGGCATTCCCACTTTTAACAAGCTGGAATAAAGACTGTTTTATACTTTAAGTCTGCATGACAAAGAAGAGAAGAGTTCTACCATAGCCATAATAATAATACATTTCAACTCCTAGAACAGCAGGTTTTTACAATCTTGTTTTTCCTCCTGTGCAAATCCCCCTGAGGTTAGCCTTTGCTGTTGCCACCTACTTGGTAGACACCAAAGAAATTTACAACTTTTTGGAGGATTGAGTGCCATAAATCAATTATTCTGCTTTACTATGCAATGGCTGGCAATTCCCTTGGTAGTAGCCACACACCCTCTGGATCTGTGGATGGGGCTATCCGCTCCTCTGGTAAAAGGCATTAGATTGCTCTACTGTTGATACCACTTTTCCCAGCTCCTCTACCTCCTTCCTTGCAATTGGGTGGCCCACTAGGATTTATTTGTGATATCAATATGCATGACTAACAGCTGTCTTCTCATGCTTCTAATTTTCTGCTTCCAACATGTGCTGGGCTTCAAAATCAAGTAATGTGATTGTTGTCTCTGAATGTGGTAGGATTTGAAAAGGCTCTCCAGTGAATAACACACATACACTAGTACTAATTAGTTTTGTGTGTTGTTGTTTTTTCATGGGGGCTTTGTTCCTTATTCATTTAACAACTGCTGAGCTTTAACTATGTGCAAGGCATTATAAGAAATCAAAAGGTGAATAAAATACCATCCTTAACCAGAAGAATGAGGATGGATAAAAACTGCATTTCTCATTACCACCTTCATTCTTAGCACTGCTCTAAGGAGTTTACACAAATCCCATTTAATGCACAAAACGATCCTGTAAGGCAGGTCTCATTATCTCCAGTTTACATATGGGAATACTGCAGGTCACAAAGTTGAGAGAGAAAATACCTAGCCCAGGTTCGCACGTTTAATTAAGTGGTGGCATTAGGATCCAAAATGTGTATTTCTGAAAACAAAACATTCACGCAGCCTTACTTTCATAAGCAAATGGCTGAGATCAGTTATACATAAACAATTATATAGCACAGGCAAGTATGATCAAAATTCTCTGAGCTCACAGGGGGTAAAAAGGCAACTCTTCGACAGTATTCTGGACAGTGGACGTGGCCGAGTGAGGAGCTACTGGCTAAGGGAAAGACACTGTACCCGTGTGGCTGTATTTCAAGTGCCCTGCTATTAGGGCGCAGATACTTCTCCACTCATACGGCCCTTTGTCAAGGCCTATTAAAGCCTCTTACCTGTAAAAAAAAAAATATATATATATATATCTGATGAGGAGGGAACTTTCCACATGACAGGTTACAGAGAGCGTTTGCCATCAAACCGAGAGCAAGATTGTGTCAGTTTGTCACGGTGAAGATGAGGACAGTGTGATGCAAGCAGATGAAGTCGCTTTTTTCTGAAGTCGCTTTTTTCTGGGCTCCTTTCAGTGCTAGGCAGGCCTGAGGCCCTAGCTCAGGCCAGGTGACTCACACCAACACTTCCCACCCCGTATACTGGTCGGAGGAGCCACTTACTAGACATAACTCAGTTCCAGAGATGCCAGTGTTTTATTTCAATACCAGCAGAGAGCAGGGGCCTTTCTATTCATCCACAGGCGGATTCTCCCAGAAGGGACGCTCCAGGTGCCAGGGTCAGGTCAGTGCCTGGCTCTTGGAAGTTTCCATAGCTGTTGAACAGACCTCTAAAAATGTATAGCATAAAGATATTTTGAGACAGGGTCTCACTCTGTCACCCAGGTGGGAGTACAGTGGTGCAATCACAGCTCACTGCAGCCTCGACCTCCTGAGCTCAAGCAGTCCTCCTGCTTCAGCCTCCTGAGTAGCTGGGACTACAGGCATGCACCACCACACCTGGTTAATTTTTTTTTTCTTAGAAATGGTGTCTTGCTATGTTGCCCAGGCTTAGACAGACACATTTTTAAACTCAAAAGAAAAGAAATGCTATCTCAGAGAAGTCCCCACCCAGAATAGAGGAGTCATATTCCCCATGCCTCCAGAGATTAGAGTTTCAAATCAGCTCCCAACACCTCTTGCTAAGCCAAGGAGTGAAACAGTCAACAGCAGGGCAGAAATGGCCAACAAATAAATAAGTACACTGGGGCCGGGCGTGGTGGCTCACGCCTGTAATCCCAGCACTTTGGGAGGCCGGGGCAGGCAGATCACAAGGTCAGGAGATCAAGACTATCCTGGCTAACATGGTGAAACCCTGTCTCTACTAAAAATACTAAAAATTAGCCAGGCGTGATGGTGGGCACCTGTAGTTCCAGCTACTCGGGAGGTGAGGCAGGAGAATGGTGTGAACCCAGGAGGTGGGGCTTGCAGTGAGCCGAGATCGTGCCACTACACTCCAGCCTGGGTGACACAGTGAGACTCCATCTCAAAATAAATAAAAATAAATAAATAAATAAATAAAATAAGTACACTGGGGGCCACCACAGAAGACACCCTTTGCCAAAATTGAGTTCATCACTGAGTACACACTATTGGCCAAAAGTTGACTATATTACCAGTGTGCTTCAATATAAAATGCTTAATAACAACCGTATCATATATTCCCACCCAAAAAACACCAGGCACAGAATAGAACCCCAATATGCACTGATTGATATTAAAGTGTTTCCATTACTATGTCAACAGTAATGTGGTGATACAGTGGACCAAATCAACAGCCAGTAGCCATTTTTACCCATCCACCCAAGATCTTCCTGTCAGCTCTTGTTTTCCTATTAGCAAAGAACTCAGAGAAAGACTTGCAAATATATTACCAAAGGAATCCAATGACGGAAACAGAAACTCAGCAAATGCTCAATTATGATAAATCCTTCCAAAGCCCTAAGAACATCTAAGCATCTAAATCATAAAGAAAAAAAAAAAAAACATCTTAATGGGTAAATGAGAAGGGCTATGGTTGAGTACCATTTGTGAAAACTGGTCCTCAAGCTTTCTTGTTCATATACCCCCCATACAAGAATCTTGAAGAACTCATGTCCTCCCATCATGCATTTTCAATTTGGCGTTGAGAAATGTTTCATTCATTTCAATCATCACAAAGGATGTAATTTCCTGTGTACTGCAACTCTGACATTTGGAATAAAACTCCTATATTACTCCCATAAATATATTCAGTAAATGATCTGATACCTTCCATCCTACATTTAAAATTATACATAATAGGCCAGGCACAGTGGCTCATGCCTATAATCCCAGCACTTTGGGAGGCCGAGGTAGGCGGATCACCTGAGGTCAGCAGTTCGAGACCAGCCTGTGCAACATAGTGAAACCCTTTCTCTACTAAATATACAAAAAATTAGCTGGGTGTGGTGGTGCGTGCGTGTAATCTCAGCTACTTGGGAGGCTGAGGCAGGAGAATCGCTCGAACCCGGGAGTTGGAGGTTGCAGTGAGCCGAGATCACGCTACTGCACTCCAGCCTGGGTGACAGAGCGAGACTCCCTCTCCAAAAAAAAAAAAATATAAATAAAACAAAAAAATAAATAAATAAAAATATACATAAGTACTACTTTAACAGCAGCCTATATGCCCCAGACTCTTATCCCAACAGTCTCGTATTGTTTATCCTATCCAATTTCTCTGCAACAACAACAAAAAGTAGGCAGTATATAATTCAACTTTTTAAAAAATTTCTTTGACCATAAGAGAAAAATTTTCTTTTGGCTTAGATGATTAAAATTGTCATTAGTCTTGATCAAAATAACACGAATAACGTGGCAGTGTCATGAGTAAACATAAAAAGATAAACTGGTGTGTCTGCATGTCACGGCTGGCATAGTGGGCATGAGATCTCGATACCTCAGTTGGTGACATCCTTCTCAACCAACGTAGGAGAGGAAAGAGTGGGAGAGAAGACGGGACAGGTGGGAAAGGACGGCACTGGTCTATTCTCAGGCAGATCAGTCTCATGGAAGAGACAGGCCTGGTGGATGTAGAAACTGGCTCCCTAAATCCACGCGTGCCCAAATCATCCTTAGAAAGACTTCTAGTTCACAGGGGCTGTATCTGAACCCTAAAACAGGCCCAGACACACCAAGTGCAAATACAAATGTAGCTCACGTAGCACATGTTTAAGATTTACAAGTTATTAATCAAGCAAACAGGCTTTTAAGTAAAGTATGCCCTGTCCTCCTTCACTGACAAATATATCTTCATAATGTCAATCAAAAAGTCTGGAAAAGCACTAGAGCACAGAAGACAGAAAGTTGGCCAAAAGCCAGAGATGACTAAATTCAATTATGAGAACATGAGTCTGGGTGTTCTGCTGATGGGCCAGCAATGTTTGGATGAGTAATCAGATAAAGACGTAAGTCATAAATGATTTTATCTTTATCTATTTGGCCTTCCTTTCAGCAAAATTAACTATTTAGTTAAAAATCTAGATTTTCACATAATTTATGTTCTAGTCACAGAAATCACCTAACAGATTAAAAGATAAAATATCACTATACCCAGTCTACTTCATCTTAATTCTTTTCATCAAAATACGTAAACTGAAGAAAATGCTAAATTCAAATTTTTTAATCATTTTGTTCAAAAATGCTATTTTCCTTCTAAGTGTCCTACGATTCCAAATGTCCTCCTACTCTTTCTAAAGTGTCTACTAAAATTAATAGGGAAATGCAAATTAAAATTAGTGAATATCAAACATTTTAATTTAAAATATTAAAATAAAATTAAATATTTTATCTATTTTTTCAGCACTGAATCTCATTAAGCATGTTTATAAAGAAATAAAACTATCCACAGTTCTAGCATTCAACATTCACTCAGTTGCCAATGTAAAAAGTCAACATCGGCTTCATCCATGTCACGTCTAGGGTTCCAGATTCCCATATGTGAGAACAGTGTGAATTTGTATGGTAAAATATTTCATTTTCATTTTGTAAAACAAAGTTAATTTTGTTCATGTCTGTAACCCCAGCCCTTTGGGAGGCCGAGGCGGCTGGATCACAAGATCAGGAGTTCAAGACCAGCCTGGCTAAGATAGTGAAACCCCTTCTCTATTAAAAATACAAAAAAATTAGCTGGGCGTGGTGGCGGGCGCCTGTAATCCCAGTTATTCAGAAGGCTGAGGCAGAGAACTGCTTGAACCCAGGAGGCAGAGGCTGCAGTAAGCCGAGATAGAGCCACTGCTCTCCAGCCTGGGCGACAAGGTGCAACTCTGTCTCAAAAATAAATAAATAAATAAATAATGAAGCCCCAGTCAATGTATACAACTGTTGGAAATTCTGTACTAATTTCTTCCAGAATAGAAACTGCTCAGAACTATTGCAAAGTGATTCTTCACTCTGTAAAAAATTTATTATATTTGTGCTTTCTGAAAGAAGTAATTTGACCATTAATTTATCTCTTACTCTGACAGTGGCAACACCACAACTCACAAAATCACAGCATTCGGACACAGGTCTTTTTTCCCAAGGGCACAAGAGATGCAGAGAATTTCTCCATTTGAGCCTGATGTGTAGGTACAGGGTGCTGGAGACCAGTCCTGAAAACAGGATCCGAGGGAGAGGCATCTCCGTACTCTTGAATACACATGGTTGTCTGTGCATGTGATTCTCTGCGTTCTCTAAAAGGCACACCCCAGGCTGGAGGCCCCTCTCATCCTCGTGGAAGTGTAATGCTAACCTCAAAGGCTGCTCATGTGTTCGTTTTTTTCCTGGGGTTGAGGACAGGCCATATAGTGATTAAGATGCAGGATTTCAAAGGAGTTCAAGGCAACCCATGATGAAGGCACACTAGCTACTGCGTTTTGTTGTTGTTGTTGTTTTGTTTTGTTTTGTTTTGTTTGAGATGGAGTCTCGCTCCCTCACCCAGGATGGAGTGCAGTGGCATGATCTTGGCTCACTGCAACCTCCGCCTCCCGGGTTCAAGCAACTCTCCTGCCTCAGCCTCCCAAGTAGGGATTACAGGCATGTGCCACCACGCCTGGCTAATTTTTGTATTTTTAATAGAGACAGCATTTCACCATGTTGGCCAGGCTGGTCTTAAACTCCTGGCCTCAAGTGATCCTCCCTCCTTGGCTTCCCAAAGTGCTGGAATTACATTACAGGTGTGAGCCACGGCGCCCAGCCAGCTACTGCCTTTTTAAATGCATGCCACAGAACCCTGTACCCGGAAGTACATCCTCATTAGCAAAATCTCTTGTAAGTAATCCCAGTGGGTACCTGTAGAGTGATATGCAGTTATGGAAATTGACACAGAATTCAGATAAATCATGGTGGCCCTGCTGAGCAGCAGGCAGTGAGCCTAAAAAGTGGGTGAAATGTCTCTGCCTCTTCTTCCTACCCACTTCGTATTGGTTTTCAAGAGACTCTCTGACCTGCCACTCTGACATTTATACTTTCACAGCATTAAAGATAATCCATGCATTTACTTCGCAATCTCTCGAATTCCTACCAGAGCTTTCTGTTAAGGGCATCTATATTCAGAAATATCAACTGAACATTGTCTGTTAGGGCAAAGTAGCACAGTGATTCCAAGTGTACACAAAATGTTCTGCCTCTCCAGAAGGCATTAAGATGACGCCAGGGGAGAGCAAGTGGGCGATTCAGCTCTAGCTCTGAATCCACGCCTGGCAGGGTTAATTTTATGCATCAACTTGGCTGGGCCACGGTGCCCAGACAAGACATCTGGTCACACATTACTCTGGGTGGTTCTGTGAAGGTGTTGTTGGATGCGACTAACATTTAAATAAGTACACACTGACCAGCAGATCATCCTCTTGCTTGTGGGTGGGCCTCATCAAATCAGTCGAAGGCCCAAATAGATTGAAAGGCTGACCTCCCCAAAGCCCGAGGGGATTCTCCAGCAGGCAGCCTTCGGACTTCATCTGCAACACTGGCTCCCCCTGCTTCAGACTCAAACTGCAGCTCTTTCCTAAGTTTCCAGCCTACAGATCTTCCCCATCAGATTTTGGGCTCACTGGTCATCCACAATCACATGTTCCTAAACATAAAATTTCTTGCTATGTATGTACTGACCCTATCAGGTCTATTTCTATGGAAAACCCTGACTAAAACAATTCCAAATTAACCTCTGAATAATCCTTGGGAACCATCTAAGTTCCCAAGACTTTGAACTGAAGGTCGTACTCACCAAGCTTTAACATGATTCTAGACTCAGGAGACAAGCTTTGCACAAACCAACCATTCCCTGAGAGCCAGGCTCAAAAAGGCAGACTCTCCCTAATGACCGGCAGAACCTAAGGACTCGAGTTGGAGGCACGACCGTTGGTATGGCTCTGGAATGTTGGCACAGCCCTGGAGTGAAACCCAATGGAACCCAGCATGGCCCTGGGACATCAGCATGGCCCCGGAATGAATGGAGGCATGGCTCTAGAACACCTGCATGGCCCTGTGACATCAACATGGCCCTAGAACATCTGCATGGCCCAGTGACATCAACATGGCCCTAGAACATCTGCATGGGCCTAGAACATCTGCATGGCCCTGTGACATCACCATGGCCCTAGAACATCTGCATGGCCCTGTGACATCAACATGGCCCTGGAACATCTGCATGGCCCTGTGACCTCAACATGGCCCTAGAACATCTGCATGGCCCTGGAATGGAGGCACTGCCCTAGAACACCTGCATGGCCCTAGAACACCTGCATGGCCCTGTGACATCAACATGGCCCTAGAACATCTGCATGGCCATGGAACATCTGCATGGCCCTAGAACATCTGCATGGCCCTGTGACATCAACATGGCCCTAGAACATCTGCATGGCCCTAGAACATCTGCATGGCCCTGTGACATCAACATGGCCCTAGAACATCTGCATGGCCCTAGAACATCTGCATGGCCCTGGAATGGAGGCATTGCCCTAGAACACCGGCATGGCCCTAGAACACCTGCATGGCCCTGGAACAGAGGCATGGCCCGAGAACATCTGTATGGCCATGGAAGGGAGGCATGGTTCTAGAACATCTGCATGGCCCTAGAACATCTGCATGGCCCTGGAATGGAGGCACGGCTCTAGAACATCAGCATGGCCCTGGGACATCAGCATGGCGCTAGAACATCTACTTGGCCCTGGAATGGAGGCATGGTGGCTCTGGAATGAAGGCATGGCTCTTGAACATCTGCATGGCCCTGAGACATCAGCATGGCCCTAGAACATCTGCATGGCCCTGGAATGGAGGCATGGTGGCCCTGGAATGGAGGCATGGTGGCCCTGCAATGGAGGCATGGCCCTAGAACATCTGCATACCCCTGGGACATCAGCATGTCCCTAGAACATCTGCATGGCCCTAGAATGGAGGTATGCCCTGAAATATGGAGCCATGAGAGAAGACTTAATAAGAAGCAGCAGGGGAGTCAGAGGCTTGGATAGGAGGCCAGAGCTGCGAGCACAGTGGGAGAAGCTCCCCAGTCCAACAAACTAGAGGACGGTCAGTGGCACGAAGAAGAGTGAACAGGTGGAGGTGGAGGGGGAATAAAGGGAGGTCAACGAGGCAGGGTCAAGCCTGGAGCAGCCAGACATCCTGCAGGCCGAGCTGTGCCCGGGGGCCTTGTCTGTGTAAAGCTGCCACGGGGCTTCCCATACAAGTGAAACCCAAGGATCATTCAGGACGTTCAAAGGTCCACCCAGAGCAGGAACGGGGCCAGATGGGAGCTGAGCCCTCCATGCACCCGAGGCCGTGATCATCTGAGCTGCATCTGGAGCAGGCCAGGGCCAGGATCCTTACAAGGGGAGGTGGGGCACCAAGGGAGGGAGAGGCCAGATGAGTTGGAGGCTCTGACAATTATGGAAGTGAAGGAGTTAACACGGAAGCAAAAATGAGCCACGAGGCCATGGAAACACACAGCACCAACTCCCCCCTCGAATTCCACTCAGAATCAAACACATGCTTGACTTAAATTACATATGTTGCTGGGTTGAGAAGCAGGAGAAAATAAATTCATTTATGACTAGCACTAAAAAGGAAAACCTTCTAGTCACTGCTTCATGCTTACGGTTTTCATGTAGCGCAGAAAAACCCAAATAGCATCTGATGCAATTTACATAACTTTACATAATCTCATGGTTACCATTCGGCAAAGAACTTCCAGACCACATCTCTTCCACTTATTTGCCGCCAAAAAAGACAAATTGGAAAATATTCTGGACAGCAGCTTTCTACCCTACTCTTAAAAATCACCAAGAAACCAACTCTACAACTTTTCTCAGTGATATTCAGTCTGACCATTTTAATCTAAAGTCTTAATGATATAATCTAATCAATAAACAAATATTTACAGACCTCCTGCTATTTTCAAAGCATCGATTTCAGAACTGGCCAGAATCCTCTTAGCTTAAAATCTACTTCAAACTGCCTGATCTGGGAACAAACACACTTTCTTCAACTATGAAATAAGAATAATACCAGCCACTTCAAAAGGATGTTCTGAGGATTGACAGGATTAAACGTCGTTACCTGGTACCACAGGAGGTGCACACAAAAGTATCTTCTAATTGGAGAGCTATGACACAAACAGAATGAAATTCGTGATTCATTCATTCACTGTTCAAGATGACCAAAGAGAGTGTGTGGGGCCAGGCACACTGGCTCACGCCTGTAACCCCAGCACTCTGGGAGGCCAAGGTGGAAAGATCATTTGAGCTCAGGAATTCGAGACTAGCCTGGGCAACACAGGAAGACCCCCATCTCTACGAAAATACAAAATTAGCTAGGCATGGTGGTGCGTGCCTGTAGTTCCAGCTACTCATGAGGCTGAGGTAGAAGGATAGCTTGACCCCGGGAGGCAGAGGTTGCAGTGAGCCAAAATTACGCCACTACATTCCAGACTGGAAGACAGAATGAGACCCTGTCTCAAAAAAATAAAAATAAAAAAGAGAGTGTGTGGCATATTGTGAGTAGTGAAAAACAAATACAAACACCAAACACGGATTTCTGGGGGGAAAAAAAAACTATTCATTTTTTACTCATAAACAAAGAGTTATTTGCCATTACCTATATGAAGGGTTTTGATTCACAGCAGGACTCTTTTATGATGTGATGTGTAAATGATAGATATTAAAATTAAATACTGTTTACACCAAAAGTTACAAACACATACATACCTACTCTCTCTGTCACACACATCTACAAGCCAAGCCCATCCTGGTCTACACCATGATGAATGTGTACACAGACTCTCTACTTGATCAGATAGAATTCAAAACCATGGGAATTGTTGTAAAAGGTCCATTCAGTGCCTATTGAGAAAGGGTTACTTTGTTTCCTACCTGAATGTTCCCTCTTTCACACACCATCATCAAAAATGGCTTTTTGACAATACAATACTAACTCACTTTTTAAAATATTTATTTAAAACTTTTAGAATATTTAAACATTTTTTAATAAAATATCTAACTATGACTTTTGGTTTATTTACAGACATACTTGTCAAATAATCCTACCCTTTCTTATACCAATGTGTTCTGCTCTCTTATTACTAAGCTATCTAATATTTAATGAGTGTCTCTCTGCTTCCCTCAAGCCTGGGTGCCCAGTTAGGATTCATTATGAGTTTTTAGCATATATACTAAATTTTCTTATTGATAAACAAATGGAACTCCAGTTACAATGTCAGATAACCAAAGAAAATAATGTGATTGTTTAAGTTCCCTTAATATTACTGAAATGTCATTTACATTATAAAATATAAATTTTAAAAAGGGTCAGTCTCATAAAAACACAACCTAATTCTACTTTTTGGAGTCCACAGTTGAGCCATGTCACAGCTGGGTAAGTCCTGCTTGTCTAGTCACTTTCCTGTCCCATGTGCCACCTGCCAGCATCTTGTCCTCTACAATCAACTACAGTAAAAATGGCAATTCCCAAAAACGTTCCTAAAACCAGGCTTTAAAACTTGGCAGGAGCTGCCCACATAAACATAAGGCCATCTTCACACTTTCTCCTCACACTTCATGAATAAACATTCCTTTATTCAAATGAGTTGTATATTAACTAACTCCACTAATTTTGATTTAACTTTGAATGGTAAATTGAGTAATTCTGCCAAGACTGCAGAGTACGCAATTCAAATGACAGAAATTTTAATAACGGGGAAAATAAAAATTAGCAGCATGACTCCTAAGGCACTATAATTCCAACACTTTTATGGCAACAGTAGAAAGCACTCATAAATACGTCTCCATTTACAAGCCAAGGGGTGTTATTTGGAGCCACATCATCACACATACTTACCTGCAATCTTCCACGAGCATCTTTTTGGGGGCTCGGCAGGCACCGACTAAATCTCCAAAGCTCCCCAGCCCCAGACATTAAGAGGTAATGTCACTGCTTTTCAATAAATAACAATGAAGTCGTCACTGGATTAAATGATTTCCATACATTCTCACCATAAACAATAATTATTTGGCAGCTGCCCCTTGCAAGCATTGCATGCGCTTATGAATAAATCAAGCCTTATAGATTTACTAAACCAAAACGTTTTACATTTTGCTCCACTAATAAGAGCCATAATCCTCCGCGGCACTGGGTGACGCTTTAATGTCATATGTTCCTTAATACTTTTAATATGAAAGATTAGCCCTGATTAGCTCACAAGCAGGAACGCTGCTCTGAACGGCCGATTGGTCACAGAGCCCAGGTCTCTAAATGCGTCTTTATTAATGGAGCTCTGCCTGCTGATGGGAATCCCCTAGTGATGACATCTCCTGGAGCTGCCGCCATGCTGTTTCTCCTTCCTTGTACCATTTCACAGACTAATGATGGCTTGCATTAATTCACAGCTTACATTAATTTAAAAGAGCCATGCAAGAAAACATGGGACTGCACAGGGTCCTAAGTGCTCTGTAAAACTATCATCTAAGATAATAAAACCACTTTCTTTCAATGCAGTGACTCCAGTTACTAGAAAACTACTTTGGACAATCCCAAAGTGTCCTCGAAGATCTGGAGCTCTGCAACCTCCATCTGACAAGGAAAGGCATTCTCTCCCTTCCCCCATGAAACAAGGGCAAAATTCCCAAACATTCCCAGGCTGTTATCCACAACCAACTGACTTGACTCAGCTTCCGCTGATTACTCAGCTAAGGGCTAAAAACTCTCAGTTCTCTGGTTCCAATGGGGAACTGGGGTCTACAATTCTTTATGGGGGAAAATTCTACCCAGGCATACACCGTAACTTGCTGACCTAATGACAGTGTCTCACAATCTGTTAAACTGTCATCACCTCCAACAGTAATTCACAAACTTGATGTCTGTGCTTTGGACAGATTCCTGGGCTAGACGTCCATGGATCTTAACTCCAAACTAAACTCCATTCCTCGTGCATTATATAGGAAAACTAGCACCCAAACCCTCCTTCCTTTCTTCCTTCACAAGGGTCACAAACCTAGACATTTCAGACTAGAAAGCTCTTTAGAGATTCTATACCACAACCCCCTTGATATGGTTTGGCAGTGTCCCCTCCCAAATCTCATCTTGATTTGTAGCTCCCATAATTCCCCACATGTTGTGGGAGGGACCCAGTGGGTGGTAACAGAATCATGGGGCGGGTTTTTCCCACGCTATTCTCAGGATAGTAAGTCTCAAGAGATCTGATGGTTTTATAAAGGGAAATTCCCCTGCACAGGCTCTCTTGCCTGCCACCATGTAAGACGTGCCTTTGCTCCTCATTTCTAATTTGCCTTCTACCATGACTGTGAGGCCTCCCCAGCCATGTGGAACTGTGACTCCATTAAACCTCCTCTTTTTTTTTTTTTAGATGGAGTCTCGCCCTGTTGCCCAGGCTGGAGTGCAGTGGCGCGATCTCGGCTCACGGCAACCTTTGCCTCCTGGGTTCAAACAATTCTCCTGCCTCAGCCTGCCGAGTAGCTGGGATTACAGGCATGCGCCACCACGCCCAGCTAATTTTGTATTTTTAGTAGAGACGGAGTTTCACCATGTTGGCCAGGCTTGTCTCGAACGCCTGACCTCGTGATCCGCCCGCATCGGCCTCCCAAAGTGCTGTGATTACAGGCGTGAGCCACCACACCCTGCCTAAACCTCTTTTTCTTTATAAATTACCAGTCTCAGGTATGTCTTTATTAGCAGTGTGAGAACAGACTAATACCCCCCTCATGCAAAGATGAGAACCCCAAGAAGGGGACTCACCCATGGAGCTAAGTTAATAGCAAAGGCAAGATAAGAACTCAGATCTTGGGCTGCAGCCACAGGCCCCTCCCTTTATACCACTCTGACTCCTGGAATCAGTAAGAAAATCTCCGTCTCACCAAGAAGCCTCCCAAACAGAAACATCATACACCCTGGATCGCTGTAACTCCTGTTCATATTCTGCGGTGCCTTTCAAGTTTAACCACAGCAAAGATCGACCAGGTATGGTTGCAGAATTTACAATGATATCAGGTCTCTAAGACAGAAAAAAAAACACACAAATAAGAATCCTTGTTTAAAAAATAGATTCTACTGTTCCCTCCGGAACAACTGCCGCCTCTGGCTACAAAGCAATAATTATTCTGTCCTACAGCGATCAATAAAACTTCTTGCCCCATGAACCTGCTATTTCCTGACTCTGCTCTCCATATTAAAGATTTCCAAGTCATACTGATTACCCACTAAATGTTTTTGAGTTCTTTAAAAAATATCACTGAAGAATTCCTCAAATTAGCATAAGTTGTTAACAATTGAAAAGACTTTAAGTATTTCCATCACATTTATGGTTTCCCTTTTTCCAGGGTGTTCTCATTTTTCTTTTTGAACTTGTCATTTTAAGTGTGACTGTGGCAAAGTCAGTAGGATACAAATTTGATGGTGTTTCTGAGAGTGTGTGTGACTGCTGCCACATTTGTCTTCTGAGGGAGAAGGAAGAATTGATTAATAAACTCTGCCCTCTTTCTCAAGCAACAGCATACATTTTTACCAAATGAACCCATTAGCTCTTAGAGTATTCAGATTCAAGACCCCAGAACTTGTCTCTAAAACTATTCACTAGAGAAGCTATTACAAAATGAAACCATCTTACATCCTTTCCAAGGGCCTTTCAAGATTCAAGTGTTAAACTTGAAGAGTGAGTCATGAATGTGATGGTAAAACCGTCGGCAACAAGGATGGGGCCTGAGGCTCCCACCCACTCTATGTGCCCCCTCTGTGTGCCCTTCTCTTGATGCCCCCAAGTGTGTACACGGCCCCCGGCATGAACGCAACTCCCCTGAGTGTGAGGGGGCACAAATGTGTGGCACCTGCGTGCAGAGTTGGGGATGGGGGAAGGTCTCTAAATCTCTAACTAGACCTGGCATTTCCTCAATATTCCATCAGTACAATTCCTCCATCAAGGCTGATTTACTTCACGACGGATCAGAAATCATAGGTAAATTAATCAAACGTTACACCACAGCTTCTCACCTCAGTGGAGGTTTTAATTCAAAGGCAGATCTAACAATCTCCCTCAGGACCTGTTTAGGCTGGGTCTGGGGCTGAGTGAATCAGATGTTACCAAAAGCATGAGCATGCACTGTGCCTCCCAGGGTGTGCCTCCTGACCCTGCGATTTGCGTACACAGAGCTGGAGCGGGAACTAAAAATAAAACCTGACTTAAGAACAGCCATTCTCCAGCACTCACCTGAATAGAGAGGCTGGAAATCCAGGCTCGCATGTCCAGAGAGAAGGTGCACACAGCACTACTGGCAGCTCAAGGAGGAAAGGTGAAGGAGAGCGCACGTGCTTCCTCCTTTCGTAACAATGACTGTTCTTTTCCTTGCTATTTCAGATGACCATGTAAGCCGCACTTTTACCTTCTTCAGTAAATCACTCGATTACTCAGTGAATCTTTACTGAGAATTCCTCAAGCACAGGCAGCACGTGCTAGAGCTGGTGTACACAGACGAGTGGGTTCACACCATGCAGCTTACTGTCTGGGGGGATAAAGTGTACTCCATTCAAAGAACCACCCAAGTGGAAGAACAGCTGCCTCTAAATGTCCACCCACTGATGAAGGGAGAACAAAATATGATCAGTCCATGCCAGAGAATATGATTCAGCCTTAAAAAGGAAAGAAATTCTGACACAAGCTACCATGGGGATGAGCCCTGAGGACACTATGCTTAAGAGAATAAACCAAACACAAAAGGCCACACAGCATAGGATTCCATGCATGTAAAATGCCCAGAATAGGAAAATCTACAGAAACAGAAAGTGCATTAGTGTTTGCCAAGGGTTTTCCGGGGAGGGGGAGAATGGGGAGTGACTTTGGAGGTGATAAAAGAAATGTTCTGGAATTATAGTAATAATGGTTGCACAACCTTGTGAATATACTAAAAAATCACTGAACTGTACACTTTAAAGTGGTGAGTTTTATGGCACGTCAATTAGATCTTAAAAAAGAAAAGAAAAGAATAGTACAACTGCAACCGTGATGAACACTGAAGGCGCAGGCAGCCACGTGGTGCAGATAGGGTGTGACCTGGCCCATGAGCACAGACAGTGTCAACCTTGGTGCAGGTGGAAGAGGGAGCTATGCTGACAGCTGGAGCAGGAGGAGGATGCGGAAAGGAAGGAGGTTCTCAGCATAGGAAAGAGCGGGTGCAAAGACCCAATGCAGGAAAGAAAGAAAGAAGACCCTTTTTCTCTTTCTTTGGAGACAATAAAGGGTCAAAATGTCAGCTAACGCCATGGCAATGGGTTCGATCCTGACAAATGTCACATAAATGCAACTCTTAACTCCAGCCATTTTATGACCCCCTTCTTAGCAGGCTATCAATTACACCTAACAAAGGGTAATTAAAAAACCACAGGCTATTCCAAATTATCAGAAAAACAATATATCATAACAAAAAAAAAAAAAAAAAGATAGAGCTCCGATACCGTGAAAGGCTAAGTAAGGCAACTGCTAATACCACAAACAGAATGAACCTGGGGATTTCACCTCTCCAAGTTTATACGTCACTTCAAGATGAAAACAGGCAGCTAGCTACGAAGAGGACACCACACACATTTGCAAGGTGGCATCAAGAGCCTGCAAGTATCGCTGCTGCCATTATCATACAATAAAACATAGAGAGTGGGGTGTAGAGATTCACGTAATTAGCTGCCCTCAGTTTTCTCACTTAGGGGATCAGATGAATTCCTTCAATGCATTTATCATGTCCAGCCCATTCTTTTCCAGCAGGCTTTCTCCCCCTCAGCACTGCTGGCAGGCTGAGCCTGGTAATTATTGGTTATGGGGCTGTCCTGTGCATTGCGGGGGTTTAGCATCATCGCTGGCCTCCACCCACTAAATGGTAGTAGCAACTCCCATGGCCCTGACCAAAAATGCCTCCAGATATTGCCAGGTGTCCCCTGGGGGGTAAAACTGCCCCCGGAGAGAATAGTGGCTTTGTAGCAACTAAATTGATCATATCTATATGGGCTTTGACCACTCCCTTGAGACCAATGTCATTTCTCTCATCTGTATGGTTTTCTTTCTTTCTTTTTTTTTTTTTAATTATACCTTAAGTTTTAGGGCACAAGTGCTGTATGGTTTTCTAAAAGCTTGACACCCTGACAGTCTCCCAACAAGACAGATGAAAAGTTATTAGAGAAGCCTGCTTAAGACACTCTGTTACTGTTCAAATGTCGACTTGCTAAAGCAGAAGAAAAGCAACATGGCCAATCACCAAACACAAGACCTCAACTCCTGATGTCCTTTCAGCCTTCCTTTCTTACCCTCCAATTCCTGATGTCCTTTCAGCCTTCCTTTCTTACCCTCCAATTCCTGATGTCCTTTCAGCCTTCCTTTCTTACCCTCCAAAAGGAATTTAAGGATTAGGCATACTTTCAGTTCCGAAAAGCCAAGTTTGGCTCCATTGTCAGCACCAGCTCTGACATCTGAAAATGCACTGATCTCCCTCCAGCTAAGGAAACCTGAGAAACCACTCTGAAAGAACTGTGAGACCTTTGCACTAAGACCATTAGGGATTCTACGCAAGGTTCTCTCTGCTCCTTGCAAAATTACAGGCGTCATGAAGGATGGCGGCTCGTAAATCGAAGCCTTTGAAACAGGGGCTCACCGTCCGGCGGCATCAACACCTTGTTGTTCTGTGTGCACCACCCCACGGGGTGCAAATCCGCGATGACTACGTCACACCAGAAGTCGGCCCTGCGGTCCTCCCCGTAACCGCAGTAGCGCAGAAGCAGCAGCTGCCCGCACGTGGTAATGATCGTGGCCACCCAGTACGTGTCCGGGTTGTTCTTATTAGCCACTTCCAATTTCATTCCTGGCTGGAAGTTGCTCTGAATGCTGATTTCAACCTTAAGGAATCAGAAATAGAGAAAACCCATTACTACACTAGACACAATACATCCAGAAGATGACAAAAACCACTAAAAAATATGGCACTTACAAACAATATTCCTGTTGCTCTAAAACAGGCATGTATTTATCTAAGTAATACACTATGGAAGCCACAAACGTAATGCTAAACTTTACATTTGCAGCCAGCCACGTTAAGAACAAAAAAGAATAAATTTAATTCTAACAATATATTTTAACCCAATATATCCAAAACATTATCACCTCAACATGTAATCAATATAAAAAACATTAATGAAACAACCAACTGTCTTCTTTTTGAATAAAGCCTCTAAAACCTGGTGTGTATTCTACACTCAGAGCACATCTGAATGTGGACTACACGGTTTTCAAGGACTCACAGGACCACATGATAGGGGCTATTCCATGAACAACATGGCCCTAGAAAATGGAGTTGTTTTTTAATTAAGGGTGATAGTCTGTTGATATCTACCAGCCCTCAACCCCAGAAAAAGCTTTCCAGCCTGGTGGGTCTTAACATTGCAAAGCTGACATATCCGCTGTCCGCAAGTGGCCACTGCTGAAAGGAGATGACAGACTTATCAATCACACTTGCATGGGTCTGAGGCTACTTTTCCTTTAAACCTGGCATACGGACCTGGGGACTTCTGCAGCCTGAAGGACAGCCTCCAGCTCTGGCCCCCAGGACACTATATTGTGATTAAAAGGGAGGTGGAAGGATTGACTGAATCAAAGAAAATAGGAGTGACTCCATACAGAGAGAAATTGATAACTTCTCAGTACAGAAAGGAAGGAAAAATTGTGATCAATGTCTCTTTCCTAAACTGCCTAAGGCAACTGCCAAATCATCTCAGCATCTTAAGATATAAATGTTACAATGGCTTTTGCGGGACCATAACCACATCATATGCTTGAAAGCTTTGCTATGTTTTAATATTTAGCTCTTGGTTTTACTAAACAGCCACAATCACGTTCATAATAAACTAGTAAATATAGCATGATGAGTATAAAGAGAAATGGAAACATGATCTACCTTTTCAGGGTCACAGAAATTTAATAAAAATCTTAAATTCCTTTTGGAAAGAACACTTCACCTCTAAAAAGAATAAAATGTTGTATTAAAATAAGGAATCAAATCGGGCATGGTGATGCATGCCTGTAATCTCAGCTACTCGAGAGGCTGAAGTAGGAGGATAGCTTGAGCCTGGAGTTCGAGGCCAACTCAGGCAACATGGCGAGACTTGGCTAACAGAAAATAAATAAATAAAAATAAGGAATCAAAGTTCTGGCTTCTTCATTCAGCCAAGGAGCCAAAAGGAAGAACAGGTTAAGAAAGTGCCCCGATTTACTGATGAAACTCAGGCTGAATCTTTGCCCTGCATGGACAAAGTGAAAAATGTTTCTCAGAGTTAAATCTCCATTTCTATTTCTATTAAAACAAAAATTAAAGACTAAATTTCCAGGACCCAACTTCTTAGAACCCAGGTGAGTTAGACTTTTCCCTGCTAATGATATTATACATTACCAGTATCTTACACCAAAGCGAAAACCTGATAAAAACTGACTTTTTAAAAATTTTCTGGGACTTGCCCAGTGCTGGACATGCTATTTGCATTATCCAAAGAAACATTATTGATGAGAGTGGTTTTTTTGGTTGGATCCAAATGTTTTCATCATATTTATGGTTAGTTCCTCTAATCTGACTCATCTGCCAATAAATGGCTGGAAATCTTTTATGAGCTTTTTCAAAATCAAAATATTAATTGAAGCTGAAAACATACAGCCATTACACCTACTAAGAATACATTACACCTACTGGTTTAGTTTTCCAGCTCTTTACTTACTCAAGCTGACCCTACCTGTGGTCTATATTCCCTGTAGCTATCCAGGGAAACCAAGCTAACTTCCAGGTCTCCTCCTTCTTCCTAAGAAATCTTGGCTGAATTTCCATCTTGCCTTTTTGTTTGAGACAGGGTTTCACTCTATCACCCAGGCTGGGGTGCAGTGGCGCAATCTTGGCTCACTGCAATCTCCACCTCCTGGGCTCAAGTGACCCTCCCCACCTCGGCCCCCCAAGTAGCTGGGACTACAGGCGTGCACCACCACACCCAGCTAATTTTTATATTTTTTGTAGGGATGGGATTTAGCCATGTTTCCCAGGCTGGTCTTGAACTCCTCAATTCAAGTGATTTGCCAGTCTCAGCCTCAGCCTCCCAAAGTGCTGGGATTACAGGTGTGAGCCACCATGCCTGGCCACGAATTTCCCTCTTTCCTCTGCCCTTCTTCCATTGAGTTCTCCGGCTTCTCCCTATAGATTCCTTCCCTTCCCACTTTCTAGACACAGAGAAGACACAAGCTGCTTTACATACGTGTTTGAATGATGTGTGGGGAGCAGCACTTGCTCCTGTCTCTTCCAAATATTCTCCCCAGTTAAAGCCAGTTTCCTCCAAGCTTGAGCCTTCTTCTGTTGAAAAACAAAAGAACAGAATATCAATACTGGAGTGGAGGACAGAAAGGTGCTGGCCTGCAACTGAGACCAGAAAATCCTTCATACAAGACACAAGCTAATTCCACAGTTCAGAAGGATATTGCTGAATTTTTTGCAAAGCTTCAGTCTGCTGATTTTAGAAGTGTTGACTAAAGAAAGGAAAACATGGGACATTCCGCTTTGACTGCACTGATGAAATCAAGAGTAACACTGGGTTCTCTGGGGTAAATAACATGAGACATGTTCCAACGCATATTTGCTACATGTTCGTGTAATAGTTTGAAATTAGCTGCAGTAGACATCCCAGCCTGCAGGGAGGCTGGAGGACAAGGCGAAGGAACCCATCGTGCGCTGAGCAAGGGCTGTGATGTAGGCTGTGATGTATACAGAGAACAGCACTAATTGTTATAAAGATAAAGCACTGACTCTGGCATCATTTTAAGGGGAAAAAGAGAAAATGAGGCCCCAAAGAATTGCTCGAGTGTGTGGGGCCACCCAGCCAGTCAACAACACAAACCGACCAGCTGCCTGACACTCCCGACGCCTGGCCAGTCCAAGGCTCCCAACTCTTACCTACTGCCGGGACACAGCTGTTGGGGCCCGACACTCCGGCAGAAACCAACAGTGCATGTGTTTCTCCAACCACAAGGAATAAAGAGAAATACAATCAAATGCACAACATGGCTCTTAAAATCGTAACTATTTGTAGGGGGGTATTTTGTTTTTTGTTTTGTTTTTTTGAGAGACAGAGTCTTGCTCTGTCACCCAGGCTGGAGTGCAGTGGTGCAATCTCGGCTCACTACAACCTCCACCTCCTGGGTTCAAGCAATTCTCCTGCCTCAGCTTCCTAAGTAGCTGGGACTAAAGGCGTGCATCACCACGCCCAACAAATTTTTGTATTTTTTAGTAGAGACAGAGTTTCACTACACGTTGGCCAGGCTGGTGTCGAACTCTGAACCTCAGGTGATCCACCTGCCTCAGCCTCCCAAAGTGCTAGGATTACAGACATGAGCCACCATGCCCGGCCAGAATCATAACTATTTGAATTTCACAAATCCACACACCCAGGCTTGAAGGAAATCAAGCAATTCCCCAAACATTTAAGGCTACATATACGATAAAACTTGTATAGCCAAAAAGCATCAAATAATGCATTTTAACATATACACGGCATAAATGTGATGGCATCATTTTAAATGGAAATAATAAGCTGTAAACATTATTTGAACCAATTGGCAAGGCCATGATAAGAACATACAACAGAAAGAGCTGTCCAAAATGCACACGAGAGTTCCAAAAGTTTAGATGATCTTCCTGCAATAATGTCCAATGGATGCTGATGCTCAACCCATTTATCTTCTAGAAACAAGAGCCTGTGTCACTGGCCAAGAGTAAATACTGCTTTCCATCTTGTGGCTGGTAGAGAACTGATATCCGATCCTATCAGATAGGCCAGGGGACATGGGGCCAAATAAGAATGCCTTCTTCTGGAGACTATCACTACTTTTTGTCCACCTGTAATTTTTTTTTTTTTTTTTTTTTTTTGAGATGGAGTCTTGCTCTGTCATCCAGGCTGGAGTGCAGTGGCGCGATCTCAGCTCACTACAACCTCCACCCCCCAGGTTCAAGTGATTCTCCTGCCTCAGCCTCCTGAGTAGCTGGGATTACAGGCTTGCACCACCACGCCCAGCTAATTTTAGTAGAGATGGGGTTTCGCCATGTTGGGCAGACTGGTCTCGAATTCCCGACCTCAGGTGACCCTCCCTCCTCAGCCTCCCAAAGTGCTGGGATTACAGGCGTGAGCCGCCACGCCCGGCCTTCTTGAAATTTTTGAATTATAAGTAGGAAAAGTAAGTCTCTCTTAATACTTTGTGTACTCTCAGAAATTGAGGGAAGAGGATCATTTTTGTAAAGTCAGAAGAGCTGAATTGAAAGGCTATTTTAAATTTTGCCTTCTAAGCCCAAGTTGCTTAGAATGGCCTCCTCAACTTTTGCTTCAATAAAGTGACTTACAGTCAAACATCCAAAAAAGAAAAAGAAAAAGCTATCAGGAGAGAAAACCTTTCCTTGGTGGTGCTCTAACATTCGGTCCCACCCAGGGATTGACGCCCTTCAAACAGAAATGCACTTCCTGAGAAAATAAGTCAACAGGTCCTGCAGCCTCCAGTGAAGAATGGATGACACCAAGAAGTTTAGAGCGTCACAGACACAGCGAAGTGAACTAGAGAGAAAGCAGCCGTCTCCTGGAAAACACCTCAGGGTGGTACCTGATGGCTCTGTTGACAGTCCCCTGCCTCCCAACGGCACTGGGCACCTCTTACCAAATTTGCTTTCCGATGCACTAGTCAGAGGCGTCAGCTCAGCACTATTGCTCTGCCCCAACGTCCTGATGCAGTATCTAAGGATAGCAAACTTGCTGCAGACAAAGTCCAGAGCTTCTTTCCATCCTCCTTGTCTGGCCTCAGCTTGAACCAGACCCTCCTGCAGCCCCCTGCCTGCCCTAGCCTGTGTCAGTAACTTCCAGCTCTACAAAGCAGCCACCGCCCTCCCAGGCACATCCTAAGAGCTCTGCTGTGTTCGAGTGTCACTTCTGTGCTACAAGGCTTGCTATGATTTGAATGTCGTCTGTCCCCACCAAAAGTCATGTTGCAATCTGATTCCCAATGTGGCAGTGCTGGGAGCTGAGGTCTAGCAGGGGCTATCTGGGTCATGGGGGCAGATCCCTCATGACTAGATTAATGTCCTCCCTCAGGGGTGAGTTCTGGCTCTTGAAGGAATGGATGACTTCCCTCGAGAGTGGGTTGTTAAGACCCTGGTTACTCTCTTGCTTCCTCTTTCCATGTGATCTCTCTGCACACACCTGCTCCCCTTCCTCTTTCTGCCAAGAGCGGGAACAGCCTGAGGCCCTCACCAGATGCAGCTGCCCGTCATAGACTTCGCAGCCACCAGAATCAGGAGTTGAATAAACCTTTTCTTTATAAATTATGCAGACTCGGGTATTCTGTTATAGGAACACGAAACAGAATGAAACAGTGGTTTACAGGTATTGCCTCACAATCCTCCCAAGAACGATGATGGATGTATACTCACAGGGGCAATCTTGAGAGCTCAGAAAGGACAGGGAATCACCCTGAGCCACTGTTGTCCAGCATCAGGGTCAGGAGTCCAAAGCTGGAGCTCTTATGAAGTACTTTCCCCCTCCTTCTCCCACCTGTATCATGCACCAGAAACCACCACTGCCACCACCCGTGTCTCCTGCAGAATCCTAGAGAGGTTTCAAAGTGATGAGTCTGTCTCTCCATGTTGGTGAACCCTGAAACAGTCTACAGCCAAAAAAGCAGGAAAAGGGAAGACACAGGAAGCCGTGGCCACCTGCGAAGAGGAGAAGAGTGGACTGAGCTCCCAGAACCTGCGTGTGAGGAAGAAGAAGAGCACCTGGGAAGAAGACATCGGCATGAAACTCAGTCCTGGGCCGAAGGAGGCACAAGGTTCTACGTAGGACTCCGAGAATGATAGCTGCTGAAAAACGGGACAAGTTGTCCTGGGTGACTCCTTCCTGCAAATCACAAACATGCAAATCGAGGCTGGGCGCAGTGGCTCATCCTGTAATCCCAGCACTTTGGGAGGGCAAGGAAGGTGGATCACTTGAGGTCAAGAGTTCAAGACCAGCCTGGTGAACATGGTGAAACCCATCTCTACTAAAAATACACCAATTAGCCAGGGGTGGTGGCATGCACCTATAATCTCAGTTACTCAGGAGGCTGGGGCAGGAGAATCACTTGAACCCAGGATGTGGAGGCTGCAGTGAGCTGAGATGGTGCCACTACACTCTAGACTGGGTCACAGAGCGAGACTCCATCTCAACAAAACAAAACAAAAAAAAGGAAACACGCACATTGAGGCGGAACCTCAGAAACTGCCTGCAGTCACCAGCACCTGGGATGAGAGGCTTTAGTGACCCATCCCATTACCCACAAAGATTCGATGATTCTATCACTTCAGATCAGGGGAGACCAGAGCCTCCAATTTTCAGCCTCAACACTGAGACCGCTGGTTGCAGTTCTTTATTCTCCATACAATTCTAATCTATACTATTAGAATTTTACCAAAAGTTTTGTTTCTGTCAAATTTTAATTCATTACAACTACATTTCCCAATATACAGGGTTCTACAGACTTCAGTGCACATGGTTTCATTCAGTCAAGTTAACCAGGAGGTCAGAGGGTGCCACTGTGTCTCCCCTGCAGGAATCAGTAGAACACTAAGCTCTGTCCCTCTCTGCTGGTCTAAAGAAAACACTTAAAAAGGTAACCAAAAGTCAGACCTAGAATGGGATTTAAAAAAACTCAAACCTTCATGCCCAGCACTGATGACTTGAACTGTGCGTTATAACAAAGTCAAGCACAAAATTTACGGTTATTCACAATACAGCCTTTTAAAATGGGTCACGTACAACCCTTCCCCAGGCCTATGTGCCCCAAGGAGCTGATTCTCCAAAGACATTTCAATGAGCAATAGAAAAACACACAAAATGTTTATGGGGAGAGGTCTCATAAACCCAGAGCAAATATTTATAGCTGATTCATAAACCTCTTAAACCCATAAACATTTTATCAAGGAAATTCTGACAATCTCCCTCCATGTAAATGAACCAGTGGGAAGTATTTCCCCATGATGTCATGAAAACCGACTAGGAAAAGCTACGAAGAAAATTTCACAATTTAAAAGAAAACAGTGTTCATTAGCAGCGATCCAGTTTTAGAAAACAGAAAGCTATTTATGAGGCAAGAATATTTCATAAGAAACATAAAAAGAATACCTCACTATACCTTACTAGAAGCTGGAGTGTAAGTGACGTGAGAGTGAAAAATGGAATAAACAAACGGCCCATACATCTTTGTTTAAGGAATAAAATCTTGGGTTTGTACAATTTTACAATCTGAAACAAGGCTGACTTTACAAGGCTGAATATTAAAGCCTGTGCCCACTACACCAATAAAGGAACCGGGAATTGGCAGATTCAGGGTGAATGCTTACTGAGCACCTTCTTAGATGCTAGATATTTTTTTTAATGTGGAAAGAGACAGAAAGAAGACATTAAGTCTTTCTTCTTGTAAATACTGATAGTCATTTAATACTATCCTAAGATTTAGAAATTAGTTCCACCATGAGTATATTCATTGGAAGCATCTGTGCAAACAACTCAGAAAGGAACCGTGGCCACCTGCCTAGAATCTGAGCTCACAACTGCAGAGCCACCCCACAGGCAGGGACAGTCCTCACGGCACAAAGGTCCTCCTGACTCATCCAACTACCCGATGGCCAGAGTTACTCTAGGAGAAAAGAAAAAACCACACACACACACACACACACACACACACACACACACACACACACACACAAATCACCTAGCCAGGGGAAGCCACAGCTATTCAAAGGAGGGTTAAGGAAAAAAGGGAATACCATTGAGTCACACAGGACCAGTTCCCAGCGTGAAGAGTGAGGCCTGAATTTTTCTAAGAAAAATGTTGATTCCTTTCCTTCCCAAATAGAAGAGCCTGTGGTTCTCCAGTTAATACCAAATGCCAAGAAGAAGAATCAAGCTCACATTTTCAGCATAATTCTCTCCACTGAGGCTCACCCTGTCTAAATGTGCAACACCGCTTTATCTATAGACTTCATCAGGAAATTTCACGTCGCAAGCCTGTAAAAAGAATGTCAAGGAATCTACTGAACACTGTGTCAGCATATTGTTCTGCTTGCTTTTATCACAGCAACTGACAACGCCTGGAATCCCAGCATTGGAATTTCCGCACACTTCCTTCTTGGTGTCCCCTGGGATGATGCTGTCTATGGTGTCTGCTGGGGAGGCCACAGATCCTGAGCTATTTCCTCTCCCTGGGCTTATTCTAATCACATATTCAGTGTTCCTGGGAGAAAGAGTAATTTTATATTGTGCCTATTTCATTTACAGGACTTGGGTGTCGGTTATTGATCTCAACTGTGATTTGAGCTTTCCTTAGAAAAAGGTCCCCCCACCCTGTAGTCCCGGCACTTTGGGAGGCTGAGGTGGGCGGATCACGAGGTCAAGAGATCGAGACCATCCTGGCTGACATGGTGAAACTCCGTCTCTACTAAAAACACAAAAAATTAGCCAGGCGTGGTGGTGGGCACCTGTAATCCCAGCTACTGCGGAGGCTGAGGCAGGAGAATGGCGTGAACCCGAGAGGAGGAGCTTAAAGTGAGCGGAGATCACACCACTGCACTGCAGCCTGGGTGACAGAGCAAGACTCTGTCTCAAAAAAAAAAAAAAAAAAGGCCCTCCCACAAAAAAAAAAAAAAAAAAAAAAAAAAAAAAAGCCTGGTAATGAGACTGAGGCCAGCTGAAGTCTTCCTTCTTGGGGGCATCACTGCAAGGAATCATAGCCTCATAGCATCTCGGGGTGGACAGTGGCAAAAAAAAAAAAAACAAACATAAGAGAAAACACCCGGCCGAGTGTGGTGGCTCACGCCTGTAATCCCAGCACTTGGGAGGCCGAGGCGGGCAAATCACGAGGTCAGGAGATCGAGACCGTCCTGGCTAACATGGTGAAACCCCATCTCTACTAAAAATACAAAAATTAGCTGGGCATGGTGGCGGGCACCTGTAGTCCCAGCTACTTGGGAGGCTGAGGCAGGAGGATCACTTGAACCAGGGAGTCAGAGGTTGCAGTGAGCCGAGATCGCACCATTGCACTCCAGCCTGGGAGACAGAGCGAGACTCCATCTCAAAAAAAAAAAAAAAAAAAAAAAAAAAGAGAAAACACCCCAAGCGGGTTTGATTTTCCTTTCTTCGATCCCATAATTTTCTCAAGGAAAAACTTTAGTCACTTGAGTGTAGTCACTTGCGAGGGAGACAGTAACACAGTGGTCCCCAACCTTTTTGGCACCAGGGACTGGTTTTGTGGAAGACAATTAGGCACCGGTTTTGTAGAAGACAATTTTTCCACAGATACAGGGGATGGGAGGATGGTTTCAGGACAATTCAAGCACATTACATTTATTGTGCACTTTATTTCTATTATTATTACATTGTACTATATAATGAAATAATACTGTAACTCACCATGATATAGAATCAGTGGGAATCCTGGGCTTGTTTTCCTGCAACTAGACAGTCCCATCTGGGGGTGATGGGAGACAGTGACAGATCATCAGGCATTAGATTCTCATAAGGACCGTGCAACCTAGATCCCTGGCACATGCAGTTCACAATAGGGGTCACACTCCTATGAGAATCTAATGCCGCTGCTGATCTGACAGGAGGTGAAGCTCGGGCAGTAATGTGAGCAATGGGGAGCAGCTGTCAATACAGATGAAACTCAGCTCCCTCACCTGACACTCACCTCCTGTGGTGCAGCCCAGTTCGTAACAGCCCATGGACCAGTACCAATCTGTGGCCGGGGGGTTGGGAACCCCTGTAGAAATGTGTCACGGGACACAGGGGAGGTGGCACGGGAGGAAAGAGTAGGAAAGAACAACAAAGAATCTAAGTTGTGTCTGTACCCCCAAAATTTTGTGTGGGGGGGGGTTGTGTGTGTGGGGGGGAGGTGGGTGTGAATGTGGGGGTGTATGTGAATGGGTGGGAGTGTGTGTGTGGATGGGTGGATGGATGGATGTGAGTGTGTGTGTGCATGTGTATGTGGATGGGTGTGTGTGAGTGTATGGATGGGTGGATGATGGGTGTGAGTGTGGGTGTGAGTGTATGGATGGGTGGATGGATGGGTGGATGGATGGGTGTGAGTGTGGGTGTGTGTGGGTGTATGTGTGGATGTGTGATGGATGGGTGTGAGTGTGGGTGTGTGTGGGTGTACGTGTGGATGGGTGATGGATGGGTGTGAGTGTGGGTGTGTGTGGGTGTATGTGTGGATGGGTGGATGGATGGGTGTGAGTGTGGGTGTGTGTGGGTGTATGTGTGGATGGGTGATGGATGGGTGTGAGTGTGGGTGTGTGTGGGTGTATGTGTGGATGGGTGGATGGATGGGTGTGAGTGTGGGTGTGTGTGGGTGTATGTGTGGATGGGTGATGGATGGGTGTAAGTGTGGGTGTGTGTGGGTGTATGTGTGGATGGGTGGGTGGATAGATGGGTATGAGTGTGTGGGGGGGTGTATGTATAGATGGGTGGATGGATGGGTGTGAGTGTGTGTGTGTATGGCTGTGGGGTGGGTGTGAGTGTGGGTTGAGTGGATGGATGGGTGGATGGATGGGTGTGAGTGTGGGTGTGTGTGGGTGTATGTGTGGATGGGTGGATGGTCGGGTGTGTGCATGGGTGTGTGTGGCTGTGGGGTGGGTGTGTGGCTGTGGGGTGGTGTGAGTGTGGGTGTGTCGCTGTGGGGTGGTGTGAGTGTGGGTGTGTGTGGCTGTGGGGTGGGCGTGAGTGTGGGTGTGAGTGTATGGATGGGTGGGTAGGAGGCTGTTGGGATTTCCTGATGACTCATCTGTGCACTTGAAGGGGCAGGTGCCCCCCAGGGTTTCAGAGCACCAACTCCACAGCCTCACAATGCCTGAAATTAAATCTTGCTTCTAACACAGGGCTCAAGTCACTTCACCTTGTCGTCCAGTCTCCTCATCTGTGAAAGTGGGGCAATAAAAGCAGCTATGCCAGTGGGCTGTTGAATGCCAGTGGGCTGTTGAAGGATTAGGTGAATTAACACACGCAAAGAACTTAACATTTTCTGTGCCTGCCACACAGTCTGAACTCATACACCTATCATCGCGAGTCAGTTCAGAACCAGCTAAAGAACACTGGGTTTGCCTCCTCCTGTACGTGGGATGAGTAAGTCCCATCTGAAAATGCTTCCCAGGAGAAGACCTTCAGCACTAAGACTCTGCAACAGCCCCAAACCTGTCCCAGCTGGTCCCAGAACCAAATATCTCACCAAGTGATTCCAGGACTGGAAATATTTTGTGGGTTAGCAGATTGGAAAAAATAATAATAAACTACTTGTAGAATCATACTTAATAGTTTGAATGCTCAAAACTAGATTTTAGTAAAAAAAAAATAAGCTACTTGTGGAATGAAAATGCTCAAAACTAGATTTGAGTTTCTCAAGTGAATCCAGCCACTGTCCTCTGCAAAGTCTTAGACTCTGCTTTAAATGTGTGTCCTCTTTAAAGAGTCTGTATCGTCATCTAAAACTCTCCTCACCGCACAAGTAAATACAGAAATCCCAAGGCGAAAGGACAGATTAGCCACATGGGGGTGGAGAAAAATCTGAGCCAATATCTGAAAAATGTTAAGATCATTTAGAGCCATTTAGAAATAGTATTTCCATTAAAGATCTGAACATCCTGTATGATTTAGGCCATCCCCGATGCAAGAGCAAGGAACCAATCACAACATGAGTATACATGGGTTTTCTGCATGGACTCCCCCAGCCAAGGATATAATGATTCTCGCTCTCACACTTGCCATCCATACAGCCACCCTTAACGAAATGTCGGTACAAATCATTTTCCCGACACCAGATTATCATTAATGAGTTTCAGAAACTACTTAAGTTAGAGAGATACACTGCAACCGTGTGCACATGAAAAGCCAATACACAGTTGGTGTTTAAACAGTTTCCAAAACATATCATGAGAAATAACTCAGTAATCCACGTTGGATGTGTGCAGATGATATACTACAAAAATACCCTGAAAGCTCAGGAACTCCAGAATTTGAAAAATAACTTCACTCAGCAAACATAGGAAAGACTTTTTAAAAAGGGAAATCTGTACTTAAATAAAGTAGAATAATTAGGATGAACTTTCAGCCTATACAACTATGCCTTCTCAGAAAATAATTTCCATGTTTCCAGGGAGGAACAATGATCCAGCTTTACTTGCAGGAGAAGTCTTCTCCCATCTGGTTTATGTGTAGAAAAATCTGAAAGAGGGACAAATGAGCCGATTTGGAAACAGATACTAACGCCCTTCAACACAGTAAGGCCTTCCCTCATGTGAGGGTTTTCCAGGGTTTCTTCCATATAAAGATGTAATTTCATAAACTTAATCTAATAAATTCAATGATATGGAGCAACCTGTAATCTGTCATTGACTAGTCTCATCAAAATGTGAAGACAAACTTTGTGACTTCTTTGGACCATGGTCAAGTGACCTGCTAACTTAATGCGCAACATTTTTTATAGGAATTCACCATAGCTAATGTTTACAACTCAGAGGACTAAACTGTCCTTAAGTCATTTGCTGGTATGTATAAACAATGCAACCCTTTTTTTTTTAAAGGTATCCTTTCTAAATAAACCCTTTATTGTGTAAGTATTTAGAAAAAGATACATTTATGCATTTATAACTTCATTAGTTAAATAATTAAAATCCAATCAAGGCTAGGTGTGGTGAATCACACTTATAATCTCAGCACTTTGGGAGGCTAAGGCAGGAGGATCACTTGAGCCTAGTAGTTTAAGACAAGCCTGGACAACACAGTGAGACCCCATCTCCACAAAAAATTTAAAAGTCAGCAGGCACAGTGGGACACACCTGTAGTCCCAGCTATTGTGGAGGCTGAGGTGGGAAGATCACTTGGGCCCAAGAGGTCAAGGCTGCAGTGAGCCATGATTGCACCACCGTACTCCAACCTGGGCAACAGGTGAGATCCTGTCTCAAAACACACACACACACATACACACATACATACATACATACATACATACATACATACATACATACATACATTTGAATCGAAGGCTGTGTTTGAGTCCGAGGAGGGAGCTGTTCTGTTTTTCAGATTTCTGGAAGGGAGACGCACTTCACCACCAATCCGCATGACCTCACTTCCTTCCACACTGTATGCTTTTCTGACAGATGTGCTCAACATATTAGATGCTGTATCATCGGCATCTACTACGTAGGCAGATCTGGATGTCCTGTCTCTCTCTCTCCAGCACTTGGGAGGGAATTCTTTTTCCTAACCTCCCTTGCTGTGGCAGAAACATGCAACTAACTTCCTGTCAAGGGGTTCTGAGCAAAAATGGCATTTGTCTCTTGCGAGCCAGAGCAGATGACTGCTGGTCCGAGACCTCCAACCCTGCTCTTCTCACTCACAACAAACCCTGCAGGATGGTGCACAACGACTCCATGCTACGGTGATTTGTAGACGTTTCCTGCCCAGGCCACTGAGATTCTGAAGTGATGTGTTGCTGCACTATAACCTAGTCCTCTCTGTCTAGTATTCAAAATAAGAATCTTGACCCAAATTTTAGAGCGGCCATATCCTTATAAATAGGACTTCAAATCCCAGGAACCAGACAGTATGTGAGATCTACAAATGTTGCCCCATTGTTTCCTGAATACTTTCAGGAAGATATTGATCAATTCATCAAAAATCCAGATGAATCTCGAAAACAAAATCCTACCAGAATCAAGGTCTCCATTTCCATTAGCTGAGCCGAGACACTTTTCCAAGGGTGAAGATGAAGGGTCTTGCATATTGGAAGCTGACAAAGTGCTCTCCATGCCTGATGAGCAAGTGTCTCTTCTCTTAATTCATCCTGCAGAAAAAATTACCTAAGAGCAATCAAAAAAAAAAAAATCAGAGCAGTTTAATCATATTGATTATATTCACTTATTTTTAATTTTGTTTAAAAAAAACCTTATTAGTGCCACTACCATTTCATTATAACTTTCAAGATGCAACATAATGTTGTAATAGAAAATACCAGGAATAAGTATTCTAGTACACTGAGGCCAGGTGCAGTGGCTCATGCCTGTAATCCTAGCACTTTGGGAGACCGAGGTGGGTGGATCACTTGAGGTCAGGAGTTCGAGACCACCCTAGCCAACATGGTGAAACCCTGTCTCTACTGAAAATACAAAAGTGAGTCAGGAGTGGTGGCATGCACCTGCAATTACAGCTACTCAGGAGGCTGAGGCAGGAGAATCGCTTGAACCTGGGAGGCAGAGATTGCAGTGAGCTGAGATCACACCACTGCACTCCAGCCTGTGAAACAGAGTGAGGCTTTGTCTCAAAAAAAAAATTAATTAATTAGTTAAAAAGACTAATGAGTACATCTCTACACAGGTCAACAATAAAGGTCTCGGCGTAGCAAAACCATCCGTGTTCTAGAGGTCATTATCACCACTAAGATGGACACATATTTCACGAACAGAAACTTGCATTTCAGTCCTCGATCCACCATGGCAACATTGGTAAGACACTCCCCCCGCCTTGAAGCTATGTAGCAGCAACCTCCACCCCCCACACAACCTCAGCATCCCACGCGCAGGTACTGCAACACGCAGTGCCCTGCCTCAGGAAGAAGTCCTCACGTGTTACACATGATCTGTTACCAAAACCAGTTAAAGTATCGATGTTTGTCAATAATGTGCTTTTTCACAAAGCAGAAATGGAGACAAGACTTTCCCTACGATAGCACTGCTATTCCCCGCTTGTCTTCTAATAAGACTGCTGGAAAAAGCAGCAACATTAGAGCTGGTTCCCACAGAATCCTACTCTCCAGCTCCTTTATGTCAGGGCCCAGGAGATACCAGGAGTAATCGTTAACCATCGAGCAGCCATACCTGGCTCCGATGCTCAGACACAGCTCACATGGTGTTTTTAAACCACCACGACCACATGGTGTTTCTCTCATTCATTCAATGTTCTATGTCACACATAGAGAGAAGTTTAAATCAGCCAACAGGAAAGTAGAGATGAAGAAACAAAAGAATATAATGCACCTGTATCTATCAATGGGATATTTTGTGACTCACATAGTGGTAAAATATCTTTTAAAAAACATTCGGAGGTTTTGTCAAAATTGAAGATTCATGCCAGGTGCAGTGGGTAGCCTACCTGCACCTGTCATCCCAGCTACTTGGGAGGCTGAGGCGGGAGGATCATTTGAGCTCAGGAGTTCATGGTCAGCCTGGGCAATGTATTGAGACCCCCATCTCTAAATAAACAAAAAACAGGAGGTTCATGAAAGAGCATGTTACTCATTTGTGCAATGGGAGAGAAAAAGCTGGAAACTCATGCCAGGAACAAGTAGGAAGAGATGGGGAATGTACCAGGTACATAGCACTGAAATTTAATTCAAAGTGCATTGAGCTATCCACCTGTTGTATTTAACGTACTATACCAGACACTGTGGAGAGGACAGGAAGCTACTTCTCAACCACAGTACAAAGAAAGAAAATACCTGTTTCGGAGAATGAACTATAAAACTATCCGGAGTGGGTCGGCAAACAGCAATCTAGGCATTTTGCTACTACAAAGATAAGTTCTTGACTAAGCCAAGGGAATGACAGTGCAACAGAGAAGGCCCCTGTCAATGCGAGATTATCGCTCCCTCACTTTCTCAGCACAGGGCCTTATGTTTTCTGAGACAAAAATGAGGGCACAAGGTTTGAGGCGTAGAAGTCAACATCAGTGATACAAGTAACTTAAACCAGGACTTTCCTGATTTAAAGTGTGAGAGCTATGGGTAAAATGCAGTGTACTAGGTCCTAAACAGTTTCTTCAGCTTGTTTTAAAATCACAGAAAGGCTGAGTGCGGTGGCTCATGCCTGTAATCCCAGCACTTTGGGAGGCTGAGGCAAGCAGATCATCTGAGGTTAGGAGTTCAAGACCAGCCTGACCAATACGGTGAAAGCCCATCTCTACTAAAAATACAAAAATTAGCCAGGCATGGTGGCACATGTCTGTAATCCCAGCTACTCGGGAAGCTGAGGCAGGAGAATCGCTTGAACCCGGGAGGCGGAGGTTGTGGTGAGCTGAGATCGCGCCATTGCTCTCCAGCCTAGGCAACAAGAGCAAAACTCCATCTCAAAAAAAAAAAAAAAAAAAAAAAAAAACAACCACAGAAAGGACAAATAAGTACCATCCCTGAAGAGAAATGGACATGACGTGCTCACTGTGGCACCGTCTGGGGCACCTCGGAGGAAGCGAGTGAGCACAATCTTAACCGTGGCCCTCTAGATGCCTAAATCTAAGGCAGGTAGTGTAAGAAAATACGGTATCTACAGAAACGACCTGAACCAAAATACAAACTGAGTTTGCTTCGTTCATAATGAAAATGAAATTTTTTAAATAGTGAAATCCTTTTTTAACAGTTTTTAATAATGAAAATAACGGTTTTTTAATAAAAAAAAATGAAGTTATCTTATATCCCCAGTGAATCATCTGCAATGTAATGAGCTTAGTTTCCGAAAGCTTAGCTGGAATCGACACTAAATGAAGGAACCTTTTAACAGCTGGAGGGGTTCTAAGATTTTTGCTGTTGTTGTTAACGGAGGACATTGGTAAACTGAGCAATTTACTATGGAGGCTGGCTACATTTTACCCCTGTGGGTATCAGTTTGCTAAAAGAACCCTCCGAATGATGGACAGAGCTGCATTCTTCTAAGAGCAATCCTTCCAGATTCCTGTGATGACAGGGGCACAAAAATCTGGACGTAGGAACTACCTCCTTCACAACAATCAACCCACTGCATTGGCGGCCACAGAACTAAACATCACCTAACACCGAACTGACCTGCTCACACCTTGTCTCAGAAGGTTCCAGAGATTTCCTCCCATGAGCTGCACACAGCAGAGGAAAGGCTGCCTGCCAAGGGCACTCTAAGGTCTTCTGCGCTACACCTGGAGCTTACAGTGGGTAGCAGGACCCCCAGTTCACCTGGATTGCCCCTGGCATGCAGGGAGCGAGCACTGAGGCACTCTGTAAACAAACTACTTGTTGATAAGCAAGTGTGTCCATCCAACCAAATACCCAAGCGTCCACTGAGAATGTTCAGAGGGTACCTGGAATATTACAAAGGGTAAGATATGCACCCTCCACCCCTCACCTCTACCCCATGTAAGGAAGCGCGGTTATGAGATGACAGGATCACGTGGTCACTGAGGAAGAGAGACAGCATCCACAGACTCCAGAAGCCACAGGTGGCATGGGCTTGGAGAGCGGAGGGTGGCAGCCCACTGTGGAATGCTCAGCTCTCCCAGCTCTCCCTCCAGTGATCACTCAGGGAAAATACCGGGAATGTGGAGGGGAGAAGGGTGTGCAACTGAAGGAAAAAGGTAGGAACTGAAACACGTGGAGCAAACAAAGGTAAACCAGGGAAGAAAAAGGGAGGAGACAATGCCAGAATGTATCCAGGAGAAAGGGGCCTTGAAGGCATATGACGGAGCCCCAAAAACAATGATCATAACAAAAAACACAGCTCCATGAAAAGCTTAGAGCTATGGACACAGGAGTACAAGCACGGAAAGGGCACAGGGAGAACACTCAAACGAGCTAAGGCAGGGAGGGATTCCAGTACGAAAGCCCCTCTCCTGGCCAGGCACAGTGGCTCACGCCTGTAATCCCAGCACTTTGGGAGGCCGAGGCGGGCGGATCACGAGGTCAGGAGATCAAGACCATCCTGGCTAACACGGTGAAACCCCGTCTCTACTAAAAATACAAAAAAATTAGCCAGGCGTGGTGGTGGGCACCTGTAGTCCCAGCTACTCAGGAGACTGAGGCAGGAGAATGGCGTGAACCCGGGAGGCAGAGCTTGCAGTGAGCCCAGATCGTGCCACTGCACTCCAGCCTGGGGGAGAGAGACTCTGTCTCAAAAAAACATAACAAAAAAAAGCCCCTCTCCTTACAAGCTCTCAGATTTCAAACTTTCATAGATAAGAGCAAAACCACAATCCAGGAAAAAATAATAAAAAGCGAGCAGTGTTTCACAATCCACATTTCAGCCTGGCCATCTCAGGATGGCTCATGCTCAGGGACGGCTTCCCTGTGCTGAGTGTATGTGTGTATTTTGTGGGTATGTGATTACTTTCGAGACATTTAAAGAACACAACTCCATCTTGTCCAGTAAGTACAAAAGCAATAGTAGTGTCCTAGTGAGAAGAGACAGAAGCTTATTATGGTGGGGAAAAAATTAAAATTCTGCGTATGTGGGCCAGGGGAGTGGTTCGCAATCCCAGAGCTTTGGGAGGCCAAGGTGGGCAGATTACCTGAGGCCAGGTGTTTGAGACCAGCCTGGCCAATGTGGTGAAACCCATCTCTACTAAAAATACAAAAATTAGCCAGGCATGGTGGCACATGCCTGTAATCCCAGCTATTTAGGAGGCTGTGGCACAAGAATTGCTTGAACCCAGGAGGCAGAGGTTGCAGTGAGCTGATATCATGCCACTGCACTCCAGCCTAGGAGTCGGAGCAAAAAAAAAAATTCTGTGTATGTGAACCCACTGGTCATTGGTTAGGTGATTTGGAGTTAAAATGAATGGACTTCTCAGCAGTCTTGGGAACCTAAACCTGTTGGTAAGAGGAGGAGCTTCTGTCGCTCCAAAGAGAAGAAATGGAAGTGTTAGCATGGTAAGCATGCATTTACGATCATTTTATTTTACCAACACTTACAGTGATTACTAAGTACATAATAAACATGCACTTATTTAATCCTCAGAACTCTAGGATGTAGGTTATATTACTGTTCCCATCTTACAGATAAGCAACCTAAGGGATGAAGTCACCTGCTCAGCATCACAGAGCCGCTAGTGGTGGGGCTGCGGTTTGAACCCACACAACTGGCTCCAGAAACCACGCCCTAACCAGTCAATTACAGTTCCCTTTCCCCCATTATCCACATTTCCCATAATGCAGCTATGACTTTTATATTTTTACTTAAATCATCGATTTTTAATAACTGAGCACCTATTGTGGGGAAGGGGCAATGAAAAGAAATAAAACTAAACTAGGGAGTGGCAGGGACCCCACACAGTGTCATCTGTGAGCACTCAACACTCCTAGGCATGGAGCATTTTTCTCCAAATTAATTCCTCCTGAAAAGCTTTCCTCAAGAGCTTACAGTAAACTTTTCTTAGCAAATTCTAAGACACATACAATTTTAAAACTAATGCCAGACAGATAAGTGCTGATACCATGCAGTTTTCTTGTGTGTGTATTAATGGAACATCTGATTTATTTATGCCAGACACCACGTTGGGCACTGGGGACAGACATATAAATACCAGTGGCTGCCAGCAAGGACAAGTGGCTGCTAAAAGCAAGTCTGTCCGTCCAACCGCACACATAACCACCACCAAGTCCACCAAGAATGTACCTGGAATCCCACGAAGGACAAGATGCAAATATCAACAAGGATAGGAAGGCGAGCTTGGGTGGGCCGGGGGGTGCATCAAAGCGGAACAGAAAATTAGGAGAGGCTCAAGAGGAAATGCCCAGAGGAGCCGAGGATAAGAGGAAACCAAAGGAGGATGGGCATGGTGGCTCACGTCTGTAATCCCAGCACTTTGGGAGGCTGAAGCGGGCAGATCACTTGAGGCCAGGAGTTTGAGACCAGCCTGGCCAACATGGCGAAACCCTGTCTCTATTAAAAATAGGAAAAAAAAAAAAAAAAACCAATTAGCTGGGTATGGTCGTGTGCACCTGTAATCCCAGCTACTCAGGAGGCTGAGGCAGAAGAATTGCTTGAACCCGGGAGGCAGAGGTTGCAGTGAGTTGAGATGGCTCCCACTGCACTCCAGCCTGGACGACAGAGCAACTCTGTTTCAAAAAAAAAAAAAAAAGGTAGAAAAGCCATTAAACGTGGAGGTACCAGCAGCAAACAGCATGGCAGACCCTTGGGAAAAAGTCTAAGGTGCCTCAAGGGAGAGGGTGGGAGACAGGAACGTGGAGCAAGCGGCATCACGCCCATTCATCCCCAAATATGTACTGATCCCCCATTCCATGTCAGGCACTGTTCCAGGCATGCGAAGGCATCTGTAACAAAACAAAACAAAAAATTCCTGCCCTGGTAGAGATCTCATCCTAATTGGGAGAAAGAGCCAATGGAGTTTTTTTTTTTTTTAATTAGTAGGTGATATAGCCTGTTAGATGGTGATAAGTGCTATAGGGAAAAATGAAGCAGAAAAGATCAGGCAAACAAAGAAGGATGATGATGATGATGATGATGATGATGATGATGATGATGATGATTGAGATGGAGTATTTGCTCTTGTTCACCCAGGCTAGAGTGCAATGGCCCAATCTTGGCTCACTGCAACCTCCACCTCCCAGGTTCAAGCAATTCTCCTGCCTCAGTCTCCCGAGTAGCTGGGATTACAGGTGCACCTGACCATACCCAGCTAATTTTTTTTTTTTTTTTTTTTTTTTGTATTTTAGTAGAGACGGAATTTCACCATGTTGGCCAGGCTGGTCTCAAACTCCTGGCCTCAAGTGATCTGTCCGCCTCTGGCTCCCAAAGTGCTAGGATTATAGACATGAGCCACCACACCCCACCAGAAGGATGATAATTATTTACATGACAGTCAGGCAAGACCTCAGGAAGTGATATCTGAACAAAGACTTGGGGTGAGAACAGAGAGGCAGGCTGAGCCCAGGTGAGAAGAGAATGTTTGCTACAGTAAGGGCCCGAGCCCTGCGTGTCACTCTGCAGATGGAGTGGATGTGGCAGGGTGTTCCAGGAAGTGAAATGATCAGGTTTGTTTCAGAAAAAGCACTCAGGGAGCCATAGGCGAGATGGATGAATGGAAACAAACTAAAAACATGGAAGTGCAGGCAAGGGTGTGAACTAAGACAGTGGAGAAGAAATGAAGGGAACAGGTCCAAGAAGTATTTGAGAGGCCCCATCAACAGAACGCCGTAGAAATTATGTTAACAAAATGCAATCTTTTCACAGCACACAGTCACAGTTCCTAGAATAAATTACTTCACTTTCCACAGCAACTAATGGAACCTATGCAGTGTCTGTGGAAACAGATAATTCTTGGGGAAACCTATCAAATATGAGAATAATAACCCACTTCACAGGAATTTCTATTTACATTCAATGGGATGTTTTTGGGGGGTTAGAGGGGCAAATCTTGGTGGTGACAACTGCTCCACCCATAAGCTTTGCAAAATAGAAACAGTATATTTTTAAAAAGCCTTTTCCTAACTACAACACCCTAACCCCCCAAAAAGGCTATTATTAAAAGAAAGCGTATTTCCTTTTGTTTCTTAAGCTATACGTAATTTCAAGAACAAAGTAAAAGTGTCTATTAATTAAAGTAACAGTTTTTTCCAAAGACAATACAAAAAACATTCAGAAGACTGGGCTTATAAAAGGTAACTTCCTGTTTTATACAATACACTTTGTGGTTTTGTACAAAGTTAACTCTACTATAATAGGCTCCTTTTGTCTCTGTTGGACAACAGAATTCTAGTACTGGAACTTCTTACAAGAGTTGTCTTGGACCAGTGAAAAGAACAGAGAGCTTGCAGAATAAGGGAATAACAAGCTATGTGGCTGTGTGACATAAACAAATTACTTAACCTCTCTACTCCTTGAATTTCTCATCAGTTCAATCAGAAAGCTTGATGAGATGCAATCACCCCTTTCAAATCTAAAATTTTATCAATCCAGGTGTTATTATGATTCATTGTACATTTTCTGCATTCAGATTATCCCTTTATGTTTGAAGCAAATTTAATACAATAAGCATCCTCCCCTCTCAACCCTATCTTTCCTTCTCCTTTCACTTGAGGTATAGTCAAAGAATAGAGTAATGCTAGCACAGGCTAAGCAAAGCCTTGTTAGGAAGAACACGAGTGAGAAAGAACATGCATTAGATATTACTCTTCAACTAGCCAAACATAACTGGGGGCTCATTATCTATGTTGAATGCATCTAGACCAGCACTGCCTGATCTATATCTGCTTGGTCCAGTACAGTAACCACTAGCCACACGTTGGCTACAGTGCACTGGAAGCGTATCTAGTACTGTTGAGGACCTGAATTTTAATTTTAATGACCTTGAATTGAACTAGGCACATGTGGGTAGAAGGTGGGCAGCCCAGCAAGCCACTGCACTGGAGAGCCGTATTTGAGGGCTTGGAACATGTCCTAAACAACCATCAATTCTTGGCTGTCTTAAAAGTTTTAATGTAATAATGTCAAGCTAGTTAAAACTCATGAATTTTTAAATCTAAGAAACTTCAAAAGGAGACTTAACAGTTTCCCCCTAATATTCCACAAATGATTCACGGCAAACTTCCTAACACAGCATAGGTTTTTATTAAATCAGCTGCATTTTTATATCAATGGAAAATGTCAAAGGAGAAACATCTTAGAAACTATTACGTGTGTCATACAAAGACTATTTGCTTTTTTTCATTCATTTATAAATTCAGGAAAATCATTCCGCCTCAAAAATGTAGTCATGTACCAAGTTTTTCTATAAAGAAAAAAAAGTCCATGAATATGGCTATTAATAAATCAGTTAAATGTCAGTGGCTTATAGACACTTATTAAAAGGGGAAAAGTTTGCTCAAGTCTTATGACTCCTCATTACCCATTTGCCTCTAACTAGACACTACAGAACAGTAATCTGAGACTGTAAAATTTAAATGCATCAAATCAATCATTTTAAATAGAACTCAAGGCCTGGTGCGTTGGCTCATGCCGGTAATCCCAGCACTTTGGGAAGCTGAAGCAGAAGGATCACCTGAGGTCAGGAGTTCGAGACTAGCCTGACCAACATGGTGAAACCCCATCTCCACTAAAAATACAAAAATTAGCAGGGCTTGGTGGCACGTGTCTGTCATCCCAGCTACTTGAGAGGCTGAGGCAGGAGAATCACTTGAACCTGAGAGGCTAAGGTTGCAGTGAGCTGAGATCGCACCATTGCACTCCAGCCTGGGCAACAGAGTGAGACTCCGACTCACTCAGTCAATCAATCAATCAATCAATAAAACTGAAGAGTAATAATACAAAGACCAACAAGAAAGCCACTGAAAGAGTAGCACAGTGGCTGGGCGTGGTGGCTCACGCCTGTAATCCCAGCACTTTGGAAGCCCAAGGCGGGTGGATCACGAGGTCAGGAGTTTGAGACCAGCCTGACCAACATGGTGAAACCCTGTCTCTATTAAGAATAGAAAAATTAGCCGGGCATGGTGGCACGTGCGTATAATCCCAGCTACTCGGGAGGCTGAGGCAGGAGAATCGCTTGAACCCAGGAGGTGGAGGTTGTGGTGAGCCAAGATAGCGCTACTGCACTCCAGCCTGGGCAACAGAGCGAGACTCTGTCTCAAAAAAAAAAAAAAAAACAGTAGCAGAGTGAAAGCTCACATGACTCTGGAGGGCAATGGCCGTGCCACTGGAAGACTTCCCCCTACGTCCACCCAGGTGACTGCAAAATTGATTCACTTTGCAAACGATGTGTCCCACTTTGACTTTTTCAACAACATTTAGTTTTTTCCTTCCTATAAGAGATAGACATGCTCTTGGTAGAAATCTTGAAAAGTAAAATTATAAAGAAAGAAATTAAAATCACTTGTAATTCTAATACTCAGTGATAATCAATTTTATGTTTCTATAGTATCTCCTCCTGATAGTTTCTCTGTGGATTTTGTTGTTGTTGTTTAGTTCACAGAGAATTCGGAATTCCAATCCATTTTTTCATTTTGCATTACACAGAAGGAATTTCTCGCGTCATTAAGATTCTCTGAAAACATGACTTGAAATGGTTGGATAATTTTTATTATAAAATGAATAAGGTCATGTATTTACCATGCCTCTGCTGCCGCCCATTAAAGCTGTTTATATTATTTTTTCACCATGGTAAGTAGCACTCTAGTCACGACTCTCAGTCAGAAATCCTACATCTCTGATGTCTCCTTAATGTAGAATCCCAGAAGTTAAATTATAGGGTCAAAAATATGGGGACACAGTTGAGGCTCATGACCCCCCTGAAAACATGCTCTCAAGTCCGCTAAGCTGGTTTACTAGCAGGGCAGGAGAAAACATCTAAACCCTTTATACCTTTTCTTTATTTGACATTCAAAAAATAGTATCCTGCCTGGGTGCGGTGGCTCACGCCTGTAATCCCAACACTTTGGGAGGCCGAGGTGGGCGGATCACTTGAGCTCAGGAGTTCAAGACCAGCCTGGGCAACATGCAGAAACTCAGTCTCTACTAAAAATGCAAAAATTAGCCAGGAGTGGTGGCACACACCTGTAATCCCAGCTACTCAGGAGGCTGAGGCAGGAGAATCGCTTGAACCCAGGAGGCAGAGGTTGCAGTGAGCTGAGATTGCACCACTGCACTCCAGCCTGGACAAAGAGCGAGACTCCGTCTCAAAGGAAAAAAAAAAATAGTATCCTGCCACTGTAATTTGTAATTCACCTGTTGATGCCTCTTTCACTTCCTTCCCATATTTAAACTACGTTGGTATCTGTGATGGATTTTTAAGAGATCTAGATTATTTTATCTCACAAAACTATTGCAAATATTTTTCCCAGTCTACCTTTTCGTGGTTTCTTTTGACAAGAGAGAATGTTTTTCTTTTTCAACTTAGTCAGATCTATCAATTTGCTTTATTTCTTCTAAAACTTGTAAAAGGTCTTCCCCTACCCTAAGATACCAGAAGTCTAACTTTTTTGGGATTTCAAGTTTTACATTCACTGTTTTAACATACAGGGAATTTACACTCAAATATTTCATCAGTTACACCTCTCAGTTCATCCTCCTCACAATTAAACAATCCACTCCTATCTCATTAGATGTTTATATCCTGTCTATCCTATATATACAAGTATGTGGATAGATTATATATATATATATATATATATATATATATATATATATATATATATATATAATTTTTTTTTTTTTGAGACAAGAGTCTTGCTCCGTCGCCCAGGCTGGAATGCAGTGGTGTGATCTCAGCTCACTCAACCTCCGCCTCCCAGTTCAAGTGATTCTCCTGCCTCAGCCTCCCGAGTAGCTGGGATTACACGTGCATGTAACCACACCTGGCTAATGTTTGTATTTTTCGTAGAGACGGCATTTTGCCATGTTGGTCAGGCTGGTCTCAAACTCCTGACCTCAGGTGATCCACCCGTCTTGGCCTCCCAAAGTGCTGGGATTACAGACATGAGTCACCATGCCCGGCCTCATATATTATATTCTTACACATACAAGGCTGTTTCAGTTCACCAAACTTTCATTCAATAAGAAAAGTCGAAGGAACAGAAACTCTGCATACTGTTCACATACCCCTCTAGTTAAACAATAATTAAATTGGGGTCATTTAAGGTAGGTTTGCAAAGGGACAGCAGTGATTTTTTGCAGTCTCTAATGACTTTGTCGTCCCAGGCATTCTACTGTGAGCAGAACATACCTGAAAGTGCACACAGGTAGAAATCACTGTGGCAGAGGCTGCTAACTCCACCACCCCTGAATCTGTCTTCTACTTTGTCTACAGTAAGGAGTAACTGGCTGACCAAAACAACATTGCCCAGCTTTCCTTGTGGTTAGATGAATTCAAGTCACTAAGTTCTGCTAATGGGAGGTGTACGGGATTCACGTGTCCAACTACACGGTGGAAGGGGCATGCCTTTGCCCTCTGACCCCTAGACCTAGGATCACCCAGCTGATTGTCCCCATGAACAGCAAAACAGAAGATACAGGGACTTGGTCCTGAGACTATAAGGCTGCTCTGCCAGCTCCAGGCCACTACATCAGAGGAAAATAAGCCACTCTCTTGTTGATGCCACTCTAACTTTGGGTCGCTGATACACAGCCAATCCCAAATCCTAACAACTGTATCCTAGAAGTATTGTGATTTTTTTTTTCTTTAATTTGAGAAAGGGTCTCACTCTGTCGCCCAGGCTGGAGTGCAGTGCTTCGATCTCGGCTCACTGCCTCCGCCTCCCGGGTTCAAGAGATCCTCCTAACTCAGCCTCTCAAGTAGCTGGGATTACAGGCGCGCCACCATGTCTGGTAGAGACGGGGTTTCACCATGTTGCCCAGGCTGGTCTCGAATTCGTGGGCTCAAGCAATCCACCCACCAGCACGCCCAGTGAGATGATTTTTTATATCAGAGTTACATCTGCATATAATTTTGAAAGCCAAATATTCTCTATAAGGCCTGTGCGTCGATGCCCACCCCTAAAAATCAAACCCAGTCATCTCCTGCCCTTCTCCCGCGTCCCCATCTCCTGCTTGGGGACCACTTTTGCTCTCTCAGCCGACTGTTCTGGCATTCCTCTCCACTCTCTGGGGAACACGCCACTTCCTAGTTCTTCCATATCTGTCATTATTAGGTGATGCCTACTGGTCACATGACCCCCACCCCCCAACAACTCCCCGACACGCTCACCCCCCTGGCAGCTCCCACTGCGTCCTTAGGTCTCTGCAAACACGCCAGGAGTGACTACTCTCAGTGCACACAACTCTCCCCTGTCATTAATAATGGTCTTGCTTATTCCAAGGCCTTCATTTTCTATGTATTTATCACCAATTCAAATCCAAATTTTTCATAAACTGTCTAAAGCACCTGTCCATAAATTGAGGTATATAGGTACTGCTTTCATTTCATCTTGAAGCAATGTCTACTGGGGCCTTCCTTTCTGCTATAATCTACACGAACTGCTTCTCTGCCTGGGACACCAATGTTAGCCTGCAGTCTCACCTCCCCTCCCTCTGTTACACAGAGGGCCTCTTGTCTGCTTCTCTCTTAGTGTCTGGCTCCTGATGAAGAAACACACCCTCCAACAGATTCCTAAGAAAGGATTTATGTGGAAACTCTGGATGGGTGGTGTGTCTTTAACCTATTCTATTTCACCACTAGTGTAGGTGGGTAGAGAATGCTACGTTGGGCCGGGCACAGTGGCTCATGTCTGTAATCCCAGCACTCTGGGAAGCCAAGGTGGGTGGATTACCTGAGGTCAGGAGTTCGAGACCAGTCTGGCCAACATAATGAAACCTCGTCTCTACTAAACATACAAAAGCTAGCCCAGCGTGGTGGCGCGCACCTGTAATCCCAGCTACTCAGGAGGTGGAGGCTGCAGTGAGCAGCCACTGCACTGCAGCCTGGGTGACAGAGCAAGATTCCACCTTGGAGGAAAAAAAAAGAATTCTACGTTGGAAAAACGTCCTCCCTCAGAATCTTGAGGGCTTCCCTCCATGGCCGTCTGGCTTCCATCGCTGAAGTGTCTGATGCTGTCCTAATTAGGGGACTTTTTGACATTTCTGAAATCTCACAATAATGTGCCTGGTGGCACCCTAGTGGTGAGTGACTTCTTTCAAGATTGAAATTCAGGTTCTTCAGCTCTAGGATATTTTCTTGAATTATTGCTAATTTCCTCATCTCCGTTTTCTCTTTCATTCTAAGAGTCATTCAAATGCTAGACTTCTTCAATTTCCTTAATTTTCCCCTTTACCTTCTATCACTTTATTTTGTTTAATCCACCATCTGGGATATTTCCTCAACTTTCTCTCTAACCCTTCCATTGAGTTTTACATTTTAATTTCTAAAAGCTCTTTTTTTTTTTTTTTAATGCTTGTAACAGTCTCCATTTTCATCCTATCCTGTTTTTGTTATGTGGATGTAAAATTTTCTATTATATCCCTAAGGCTATGAATGTTTTTCAGATTTTCTTCTCTCCTTCATAGACGTTATGTTTCTCTCTGTTAGTTCTGGTGTCTACTTTTATATTACTGCTTACCTTAGTAGTCTAGTAATTCGTAGATGTTTGCTGATGTTGCAGAGTAGGAAATTAAAAGGCTGACTGGGCCAGGTGAGGTGGCTCACACGTGTAATCCCAGCACTTTGGGAGGCTAAGGCAGGAGGATCAGCTGAAGTTAGGAGTTCGAGACCAGCCTGGCCAACATGGTGAAACCCTGCCTCTACTAAAAGTACAAAAATTAACCAGGTGTGGTGGTGGGCACCTGTAATTCCAGCTACTAGGGAGGCTGGAATTACAGGATTCTCAAGGGAGAATCGCTTGAACCCAGGAGATGGAGGTTGCAGTGAGCCAAGATTGCGCCACTGCGCTACAGCCTGGGCGACAGAGCGAGACTGTCTCAAACAAGACAAAACAAAGGCTGACTGGTATCTCTGAGCACACAGTGGAGGTTGTTATGTATAGAGATCTGCCGGGTCATCCAGGGAGGAAACCCCAACGTTAGTGAATTTAAGACTTTTCTGTTAGTTGGTCAAATTACACAGAAAAGGACTCCTCATTTTCCAGTACATAAATGCCTACAGTTTCCCGCCCACTGTCACTGATTTAGAATCCGGCATCCCAAACAGACACAATCAGTTTCTTCCCCAATATTAGGCAAATTTGGGTAGAAGAAAGATCTCCCTCTTAAATTCAAAGCAATAAAGATAAGTCCAGTTCCAACTTCAGATTTCCAGTTATAAGAGTTCATAAATTCTCTCCTTCCCTTATGCTAATTCTAACATAGCATTTTCCACTTTGTTTTTGTCTTATTAGACACAAGAAATGTAAAACTATCATTGTGCATATACACCATGGAATCCTATGCAGTCATAAAAAAGGATGAGTTCATGTCCTTTGTAGGGACATGGATGAAGCTGGGAAGCATCATTCTGAGCAAACTATCGCAAAGGCAGAAAACCAAACACCGCATGTTCTCACTCATAGGTGGGAACTGAACAATGAGAACACTTGGACACAGGGTGGGGAACATCACACACTGGGGCCTGTCGTGGGGTGGGGGGATGGGGGGAGGGGGGAGGGATAGCATTAGGAGATATACCTAATGTAAATGACGAGTTAATGGGTGCAGCACACCAACATGGCACATGTATACATATGTAACAAACCTGCACGTTGTGCACATGTACCCTAGAACTTAAAGTATAATAAAAATAAAAAATAAAATAAACTATCATTGTGCAATTGGAATCATCCAAACTCAAGTGAAAAAGTGAAACTTTAAACTGTGATAACAAAGCTACATAAGCATTAGAAATCATTCTCATCTCCATTCATCAGGTCCCCCCAGGCTCACTGCTGAGGAAGGACTCACTACAGTGAAAGCCACCAATGACTCAGACCTTCCAAACTGATCTGCCTTCAAGAGGTCCAAGAAAATGGCATTTGTGCTAAGTAATAACATACTCAATTTCAGGCTTGCCACTCTGCAAAGGGAAAGGGCTTGCGGTTGTTTGTTGTTGTTTTTTTGTTTTTTTTTTTAATGACTCAGAAAAGATAATATTCTCCCAATCAAAATAAAATATGAAGGTCTAAGCGAAAAGCTTGTGAAATTCCAGACATGCTGTAGCCACCCTTGGAAATCTAGCACGTCTAAATCAAAGAGAAAGCTGTCTCATTTCACACTCCAGGAATTTCAAAATGAGCACAGGCATCTATGCTGAGACCTTTCAAAATATTTCAATCAAAATGGAAAAATCTCAAAGGATTCTGAAAAGAGGTACCACCAAATTTTGAGCCGAATCTTGGTCTCTGAAAATCACTGTTTCCATGTTCCTAAGAAGCAGCATACAAGCAACAGCCCGGAATCGCAGCAGTACCAGGAAGAACCGCATCTGTAAATGGCTTTGAAGATGAAGCGCCGTGTTAAGTGCCAAGCACTATTATCAACGCGAGCTTTCTTCTATTTATACTCGCCCCGTCAGCCGGGTCACTCTGCTAATAATATCTGACTAAGTACATCTCTCCCCCACTCTCACCAGCCAACTAAGAAGAGACAAGCCCTGCCTCATCCCATCATCAAGTGAGACGAGCTGATTGTTCGGGGCAGGAGTTCACCTTGCCATCCGCCATATGCTCAGAGCTTGATTTACCTTGATTAGGACAGCAATTTACTCACCATTTTTCAACCAGGCTTACATTGGTTTCCACTCAAAATAGATTGAAATCTGACACAAATTGCTGCCCTGGCATAAGAAATGCTAATTTCTTAAATCAGATTCATGCCTCAATACTAGGAAATAAGATCTACTGGGGATAATAGGCACTCTAGGAGTAAATACCTCCTATTCACACAATAACATTCAGTGTCTTCTAATTCATGGTTTTCACTGTCACCTCTTAACCTCCCAATCAAACAATGTATATTGCCCAAGAGCATAAGGTGAACAAATCAGTTGTTCAAAAATGGGCATGTGCAAAATGAGAAAAACAAGAGGCTTCCAAGTTAGTTGCTCAGGAGGAGAAAACAAAGTGCACCATCTTGAAAGTCGGTTTATTTACTCTTTGCCAACAAATTATTTATTTACTATAAAGAAGGATGAAGTTTTACAATACCCAATTAAATACTACAACACAACAGGTCTTTGCATCAAGGTACTTCTTGTACCAGATATTTACACCCAAGCCACAAAGGTCATTCCCATCCTTAGCTAAGCAGAAGACTGAGTTTGGTCAAAGGGCCTTTTTTTTTATTTTTGTGGGTACATGGTGTAAATGGGGCCTTATTTAAAATGCAGCAGTTTTAGAATTAGCAGAGATGTAGTCACACTGGGTTCAAACCTATTGGACAAACCCTACATACAGGATTTCTCTGTCCCTTATAAATATTAAAAGGAATAAATTAGAGCATCCCCCCAGGTTTGTAAAAAGAGCTAAGTAAACCTTATATTCCCCAAAATATTTGTGTAATGCATTACATACAAATGCAGATAAGTCATTTTAAGTAGATCATGTGTTGTCCATACCGCCATGAGACTCAAAAAGTAAAGAAACTTACAAGGAAGGCTTCTGTAAGCCAGACATGCATGGATAATGCCTAATTAGGGCATAATTTTCTGGGTGGATTTTAAGAATTGATCACTTCAAGCCAAACAAACGCACAGCAATGATGCTTGAGAGGTGCCACAATGTCCAAAATACCAAAAGAAGTTATTCTCCCACTGTCAACCAAAATACCAATAACGAAGAGATGAAGAGTCCCAACACTGTGAAGATATCAGCCAGCGGGAAACCCTCGCCTGTGGAGCCCTGCACTCCTGCATTGTAGCTGGAGATTCCTACAACTGGAGTGCATAGATATCTCCTATCCACCAAGTTTTTTGGGGTTTTGTTTTGTTTTTTTTTTGAGACGGAGTCTCGCTCTGTCACCCAGGCTGGAGTGCAGTGGCGTGATCTTGGTTCACTGCAACCTCTGCCTCCTGGGTTCAAGCGATTCTCCTGCCTCAGCCTCCCAAGTACCTGGGATTACAGGCGCCCACCACTATGCCCAGCTAATTTTTTATTTTTAGTAGAGACGGGGTTTCACCATGTTGGCCAGGCTAGTCTTGAACTCCTGACCTCAAGTGATCTGCCTGCCTCAGCCTCCCAAAGTGCTGGGATTACAGGCGTGAGCCACTGCGCCCAGCCTATCCACCAAATTTTATAAATTATATCATTTAAGTGCATGAAGGAAGTTTACTAGAGTCTTCCTGAAAATCATTATATAAAGTAAATAAAAACACCCTCACTTACTATGGTCAGTAAAGAACTTGGAAAATGTGCAGGACTCGGCAGGAGGCCTGCGTCCATATGGTAACTAACGTCTTATCAGGCACCAGAATGTGCTCCTGGCCTTTAAGTGCCCCAAGCAACACTGTCCTCAGCTGCAAAAAGAAGGGACTGTTCTAGAAGCTTCCTCACTCTCATCTCCCACTCAAGCATGTCAGGGAAGGTAGGTTTCCACTCACCTTCCTTGTTAAAACCAAGAGGATGTGGTAGGAGGAAACAATAGAGCATCCACTAGGATGGAACAGAGACTGAAAGAAGGGAATAGTCACCATGGTCTGAGCCAGATCACAAAAGCTTTCATCAAAAAGGTGGATCTGAGCCAGGTCTGGAGAAAACTGTGATGTTTGACAAGCCGGAGGAATGGGAGGCTCCTCCAGGCTAAGGGGCAGGCAGGGTGAGCTCAGCCTCTCTGGTCCCAGAGCCTGCACTGGGAAATGGGCAGGAGAACCTGAAAAATATGTAGTGGCCAGTTGACACGTGGCCCTGAGTGCCCAGCTGGCTATTCAAAGACCTAATCTCATCACTTGTACAAGGCCACTGAAGTTCACAGCGGTAGAGGGAGGAAGAGGGAAAGAGGATGTTCTGCACTTTCCAGCTCTCTGGGAAGCGCACAGCACAGTTCAGTCAGTCTTAAAGGCAATGAATGACAAGGACCAAATCCCAAGCTTCACCGTAAACACTGTCTGTTTCTGTACAAGGCCATCTCCTTCTCCAAGCAGCAGGGTGGAGGGCTGTGATGGTTATCTCTCATTCCAGGGTTGGCTATCTTTCAATAATTGTCCCACAGAGGGTAGATTAGGGAGAAGGCGAGAAGAGAAAAAAACGCCAAATTACTCCACAGCTGTCGGCTTCTATGAAGTTGATGGCATCCAGCGGTTGGCATCTCCTCACCTAAAGGCAGGGGGCACAGGCTTGGCAGGGATTAGCTCCTCCAGGCCGTCAGGCCTCCCAGGCTCTTGAAAGCTGTCAGCTTCAACAGCAAACCCTGGCAGCTGCATTTGGCCGAACTTCTTTTCCTTTTAATTAGCACAGGGACATGAGAATGCTTCTCAGAAGAGCCCTGCCTGGCTTGGGGCCTCCTCTGCTGCCTCCTCCACTCAGTTAGAAAAGCCCTGTCCTTGGGAAGTCTCAAGGATCTCACCTGCCACAGAGCAAACATCTCAAAAAGCATCCCCCCCGGCCAGGCGCGGTGGTTCGCGCCTGTAATCCCAGCACTTCAGGAAGCCGAGGCGGGCGGATTACCTGAGGTCAGGAGTTCAAGACCAGCCTGGTCAACATGGTGAAACCCCGTCTCTACTAAAAATACAAAAATTAGCCAGGCATGGTGGCACATGCCTGTAATCCCAGCTACTTGGGAGGCTGAGGCAGGAGAATTGCTTGAGCCCGGGAAATGGAGATTGCAACGAGCCGAGATCGTGCCACTGCACTCCAGCCTGGCCAACAGAGTGAGACTCCGTCATAAAAAAAAAATAAAAATAAAAAGCATCCCCTCCAAAAAGAGCCCGAGTGGTAAGTCTCTCAAGCACGCACCTTTTTACGCACTTGGGACCTTAAAAGGCTCCTTTTCATTAGGTCAATGGGAAAATTAAGGCTGAGGCTGCAAGTGAGATGAGGAAAGACCAAACATGTAGGATACAGACTACACCTCTCAACCATAACATTCGTGTTGACCTTCTCTGAGCAAATACATCCAGGTCAAAGGACACAACAGGATTCAACCCACAGCTTCCAGCACACGGAGCTGGAGGAGTGATCTTAACACCTCCTGTTTGTTTATAAATACAATATGTACTATGAAAGAACAATTATGATTAAAGTATCTCCACAGGCAGATAAAGTTTAACTTAGGGAATTAAAACCAACGATGAAAGTAATTGACAAAAGAAGGAGGCTGCCCAGAAAGTAAACGTTGCCCTCTGATGTCCTCACGCCTATTCATGAACTCTGCCCTCTGGTTCAGACATCCACAGGGTGATGGGCTCAGGATCAACCCTGATCTTCCTCCCCAAAACCTCCTTCCAAAGACTCCTCTTTCCCACTTCTCTGTGCTTAGGAAGGTGAACTCAGTCTCTTCCTGCAGGTACAAATGCAAACACTACCATCATCCAAGCTAAATTTTGGCAGTGTGCTTTTCGTTCTATGCCCTTGACTTTTTCTGTGGCTAACTCCACAGTGCGCCATTCCACGGGACATTTCTCCACGTGTTCCGCACAACCATGCATCTCATTCCAACAGAATACCAACTGCAGGCTATTTAGAACGGTCTCCTACGAATGTCTGTCTTTAATTGAAGAACTGCAACCTAAGCCATGTACCAATTGGTACCATTTATATCCAGTGACAGATATAATGCAGACAGGAGACGGAGAGCTCTTGCATTGCCAGGGAGTAGTTCTGTTTGGTACACAGGCAAGATGGTGACTACTGAGTATTTAACATTAAAAAAAAAAAAAAAGCCCACCTGGAAAGAAATGTCCTTTCCAATCTGGAGATAGGAAAAAATAAAAATGACTCCAGATACAAATGCTTCCTCTATAGTTGTGAAGTGTGTACCTTGTAAAAGAATCAGAGAGATTTTTCTCTAATGAAAAGATAGTATATTTGTCCCAGTGCCAAAAGCTTAAGTAAACATGTCTTCCGCCTTTTAAAGCAGGTTTTTAAACTATACTTGTGCCTAGCAAATATTCTATTCTGCCATCCATCGCAGGAAAAATCAAATATAGAGGAGGGTGAAGATGAAAGGGATTAGCCGGGGTCACACCAAAAGCCCTAAACCAGAAATGGGGTTTCTGAATTCCCAGGACTTGGTTTACTCCAACCATCAAACTATGGTTTATTTATAATACCCCAAATTTAGTGCACTTTCTAAAAATAATACCAACTGTGAAAATTCAGCCACTTCAATTTGGCAAAATTTGACTTTTTCCCTGGTCCATTAAAAGAAGTAGAGTTATTTTCCACCAATATAGAGCAAGAGCCTTTGATTCTCCACCTTCATAGTCCCAGACCAACAGTACCACGGAAGGGGTCTACAAGCAGCTGGCAAGACTGAGGAGGCACAAAACTGTGTGTACCTGGGACTCGCAAAAAGAGCAGCTGTGGTGTCAGTCTTCAGTTTTCTACATGAAAAGGAAATAATCCAATAAAAGACCAAAAACTAAAGTTCACTCTAAAATGTCCTCATCAGTGGCCAACACTGTTTAGAAGGAAAAATTCTAGCTCTCTTCCCCCAGCTTTCGATAGTGTCTTCTTCATTTCTCCCAAAGGCTTTTATTTAAAACATATTCTTACCTACATTCAGGGGGAGAAAACTGATTTATATTGAAACCAATTATTTTCTAATCAAGATGAAATTTCAGAAATTCAACACTTTTCAAATCTTAAATGGTCAGTTCATACGACAGTAAACAACATTGTGTCCTAACTGAGCATCTGCACTTATACATTTAAAAACAGTAATGTAAGCTTCATTGAAAAGCTCTGCTCTCCCACAGCCATCTGAACGAAAAACAAAAAGAGAACAATCTAGTCTTACCCCATTTCAAAATTAACTACTAAACACAAACCCTATTAGAATGACCCTGTATAACCTCTCCAAAGACTCAATCAAACTCCTTATCAATAAAATAAATATAACAGCCCCCACCTACAAAAATTAAGTAAGTGAATGGTTTAAAGTGCTAGGCAAGACCAGGCATGGTTGCTCACACCTGGAATTCCAGCACTTTGGGAGGCTGAGGCGGGAGGATCACTTGAGGTCAGGAGTTCAACACCAGCCTGGCCAACATGGTGAAACCCCATCTCCACTAAAAACAGAAAATTAGCTGGGTGTGGTGGTGTGCGCCTGTAGTTCCAGCTACTTGGGAGGCTGAGGGGGGAGAATTGCTTGAACCCAGGAGCCAGAGGTCGCAATGAGCCGAGATCGCAGCACTGCACTCCAGCCTGGATGACAGAGCCAAAGTCTGTCTCAAAATAAGTAAATAAATAAAAATAAATAAAGTGCTACACAAGTATCTCACATACAGTAGTAAGCAATCAAGAGGTTACAATCTTAAGACAATGTATAAGACTAGGATTTCAAATCTAGCTCTCTCTCCTGCTGGCTGGTGCTCTGGGCAAGTAACTCAAGCTCTCTAATGCCTGTTTCCTCTGTAAAAGGAGGATGACAAAACTCTCCTAAAATAGATGAAATATAAATATGAAGCAACAAGAAGAGTCACTGGCCAACAGCAGATATTTAAATAAGCAGCTTTTTTTTATTTTTAAAAGTATTTGAAGGACTGGATTGGAATGCTCCTAACACAAAGAAATGATACATGCTTGAGGTAATGGATCCCAACGACCCTGATTTGATCATTCCACACTGTATGCTTGTATCGAAATATCACATGCACCCCACACATATGTATGATTAGTATGTATCCATAAAAGCTTCTTAAACATCTAAAAATATTTTTAAAATAAAGAGTATTTGGAGTAAACAGGTAATTTCATATCAGATTAATTCACAATCCTTTCACTGCTAAATCTCTAGACCTACAATCCAAATGTCCCATTCCTTGCAGGTGCTCATTTAAGTTATACCTAAAACAAGACTTTGTAGGAACCTAGAGTTGGAATTCCACACTCTTGTATCATACCTTAAAGTATTCAGTTCATATAGTAGTGTTGATTGAAATGGAGGGGAAAGAAAACAACTTGCCAAGTTTGGCAGAAAGCAGGGAAGGCATACCTTAATATCTGTTTATAAGACATCTTTTTCTTGGCCAATAAAACTACAGGGAAAAACTCACAAGATGAAAACCTGCCGCTTCTCCCCCATGTCCCACACCTCCATACACTTCCTGTCTAATCACAGTTGCTAACATTATTTGTCCTACTTTGCAGAAGTCACCAAATGCTTAGGAAGCCCTGGATCTATCAAAATGTGTCATTTTTGCTTTTCAGAAAATGAGAAAGGAATGAAACAGAAAAACGCAATGGATTCTTTCTTTAATCAATGTCAAAGACATCTATCTCATCACATGAATGGAAGCCTAGACGTGTCATCTCATCAATAACCTGAGAGACCCTAACCATCAGTGCATATTGACATATTACCGCTTTTGCTTTTTAAAATTTACTACAGGCCAACCAGATGGGAAGTGTTAAGGTGGCATCTTCTCATCAGCACAGTGATGAACTGATCATGCAAAACCAATCCTGAAGGATTTTACTTGGAAACATTACATGAATCATGTGACACATTCTTTCTTATACTAAAAGTTCTAAGCAGACTATCTTCCCTTCCTTACAATACAGTCTTACAGTCTTGTAAACATCTTATTTACACTTGACTTAAACATAGAGCCAACACTTGTTTTAGCCAACGAGAGTATTTTTCTTAGGAATTGTCCCAGAAATTTTTAGTCTAACAAAGAGAGGAAGACCTGCCCAGCGGCCAAACCTGAACCCTAGGAACGGAAAACCTTGAACTTCAGAGTGGATGCTCACACTCACTTGCTGGCTACCAGAAGGCTGCAATCATCATCCATATCATAAACATGGACCCATGAGGTCCAAGCACCCTCCCATCTGGAATGGTGGGGTACACTGTGCTATCTGGAAGAGTCTCTTTGAGCCTGGAAATTATTAGAACAAGATGACATCAGGTGTTTCCTCATGGCTTGTATTCAAAGGCACACTGCTCTAACCCAGTCCATACCTTTATGGGGTTATGTGGGAAGGCCACATATGTATAAGCCTCCATCTTCTCTACCCTTCGCCTTTTCCAGAGCACAGATGAAAACACGACCCCATGTGGAGCTTACCTCACTTAACAATAGCACTTTACTCTGCAGCAGGGACCCACAGCTCAGCTGCTGCCTTCACAAGCACGGTTGCACATGGATGTCACCTAAGGCCAGTCAGGTTTTCATTATCCTTTAGGGGAACATGAGTATGAAAGATGAATCTCTTGGGCCTATCTGCATAGATGTACTGAATCACAGATGTATTTTTCCCAGATAGAAGCACAGTGATCATTGAGTGACATTCCAGGCTAGCACCTTTATTTTGTAGATAAGGAGGTTGAGGCTGAGAAAGATGACTCACTTGTCCCAGATCCCACAGCTGAACAGAACCATGTCCACCTACACACTAGGCCCGATTCCCCCCCCGACCCCCGCTCTCTCTGTCAGGAATCTTCCTTAGCAGCTAGTGTTAACACATCCTGGATCACCAAACTGAATACACACATTGACTTCCTGGTTTGTTGTGACGCATAATTTCCCAACTTTTTTTTTTTTTTAATTTGTATGATGGGGGCAATAAGTTGCTGCTGAGGCAACATAGATATAAGAATGGTTAGAAAAACCACAAAATGCATCCTGAATTACAGGTCCCAATGCCATTTTGGTACAAAAACCTTTATGACTTCTTACTTTAGGGCAGAGTAAAATTTCCTTCTGACCACTGCACCCATGAACCTCAAAAGTACAGAGTAATAAAATATAAAGAGAGAAATGTCCAACCCTAGTATACTAGAACTGTAGGTCATTCAAATCCCACAGTGAACTATTTTTGTTCAAATTATTTAAAAAAAGAAAAAGAAAAAGAAAACTCTGATAATCTGACAAAAATTTTTAGGCATAAGTGTAGGGCCTGGGGAGAGTAAATTTCCTTTACGGACTTCTTAGATCCCAAAAGTATCCTGTATCAATTACATAGAACCTCATTTTCTTACTGCTCAAAGCAATGCTTCCATCGCTCACTATTTCTTCTCAAATGTGGGAGTCCTTTGGGGGCAGTGGTTAAAAAAAAAAAAAAAAGCCACCTTAGCTAGAGTGGGCAGCAATGGAAAAATGGATAAGTGTTTAGTACTCCCAGGAAAGCTTTATGATGAAAACGAAACAGGGAAGAGTCAGGAACCTTTTCTGGCTTTTTAAAAGTCTTGACTTTTAAGTCAAGAATCGTGAAGCCAGTTATTTATAACAACCAATGTTAAAAAAAATAGTCTATAATGTCTGCAAGAACGCAGGAAGAGGAAAAACTCTGCGATGTATGACTTCCATCATTACTGAAACGCATCTCCAGCAGGACCTGCTGTTTGAGGTTCAGGATGGATGTATCCCAATGGGAAATGGGAAACAGTTCCCACCTCAGCAGGCCTCCACCGGCACTTCTACAGCAACACACATCAGAACAGAGTGGATGACCACTCTCTATTCCAGGATGGGGGCTGCGAGACCCCCGGCTCGGGGCAGTGTTCTGCACCGGCCCAAGAATGGGTCCTGCAAGCAGTAAACTCTTTGGTGGGGACCTAGAGGGTTGGCGGGGGGGGAGGGAAGTGGAGAAGTGCGTGGGTGTCTCCCACTCTCTTGCAGGCAGGCAGCTTGGTCCCAGCAAGAGCAAAGATAAGATCTGAGACGGTATTTATTTATGGAAGGGAGAAAGCAGAGTGTGTGCAAATTTAATGCTTAGTAGGGAAAAAGCAGGAGACCTCCTATCTCCAGGGCGGGCCTAGGGAACAATTCCTGCTGAGCAACAACGCCTCTCCCCTCCCCCACCCCACTTACCCGCTCAACTCCCTCCCCACCCCCAACAGCCTCCCCAGGAAACGAGGCCACATTTAAGCCTGTTTTCTCCTTTTCTCCGACCTGCTGGAACATGGGTTCTTTCCCTTGGTGTAGACACGCTAGTAGGTCTCCCAGTTCCCTTCTCTACGGTGCAAGAGTGGAGGGGGGATGGAGAGTGGTGGGCAGCGGCAACCGAGCCAGATCCAAGAGGGGTCGGCCTCGTCTAAATTGGTTTCCCACCAATGGCCTCGGATCAGCCGCGGCTGTGCTGCGGGAGCCCTCAGGACGCGGCTGGGGTTGGTGCGCGGGGCCCCGGAACCCCAAACCCGGCTCGGTTCGGCAAGGTTCAGGGAGACAAGGTAGAGAAGGCTGGGGTGAGCGAGAAGTCGGGCGGCCGATCGTCAGGGCCACGAGCCTCGCCTTGCCTTCTTGGAATCCCACCCAACTTTAAAGGCCCAAAGATCCTGAAAATTCCGAAAGCGAAACTGCGAGCTGGTCTCCAGAAGTTTGAGAACGGTCTCCCAGGCTTTCCAGCGTCGTCCCGGGATTCTCGGACACCACAAACGCCATCAACCACGAGCACCGGTGTCCGTGGCTATTGCCCCGAATGGTCCCCATCCGCGTCCCCGGGAACTCCCTCGGCTTTTCGCGCATCCAGGTCCCCAGCCCCAGCTACTGGTGCGCCCCGAGCCCCTAGGTGCCAGAGCGGTGGTCGGCCGGGCTCCTGCCCAGTCTCGGCTCCTCCCTCCTCCCCACCAGAAGGAAAAACTTGGGCCCTTCGAGAACCCTGTGGAATGTTCTTTGTAATCAACTGTACATCCGCTTCCACGGCACGGCCTCGTGCAAAATCGCGGGTTTCGGGGCCTTGGAGCAAATTGCGCTTGTCAGCGGCGACGTCAGGAGGACAAGGGGAGGGGTTCGCGGCTGAAACTGCAGCTTCGCAGCACAGAGCCATTTTAGGCTGCTCCCCACCTCGCGGGGCCCATGGGAAAGCCGGCCCCGGGAGGGCGCGCCCAAACGCAGGCTGGAGGAGCCACGGACGCGTCCTGGCCGGCGTGTCGCCATCGTTCAGCCTCGCTGCCCAGGTGGGAGGGGTCACCTGCCGCGGGGTCTCCAAGCCAGTGCCGCTTGCTCCCGGCCCCCACCCACTGACAGCACGGCGTCCGAGTGACCCTGTCTAGCCTCGTTCTGCGCTCCTGCAAACCACGTTGCTGCGCTAACTACAAACCTGGCCAACATGTCTTTGTAACCCTATCATTTAAAAACGCTTCCAGGCACCTGGCCGCTGCCAGATCAGGTTCGCGGGCCCGGAGGAGGTCCTCCCACCTGCCCCCGCCAGCCCCGGGGACCGTGCGCGGCCTCCGTGTGGCCCCCGCCCACGAGGTCCCTCGGGCAGGAACCGCCGCGCGACCTCTGTTCAGCGGCCGCGTCCTGGCCACGGGCGACCCCTGTCGGGAACCCTGTTCCCGGCTAAGCTGCGTTCCCGCATTCCGGTGGCTCTCACCCGAGCTCGCGTTTGCTGGCTTTCCCTCTGGCTCCTCTGCCTGACCCCGATTTTGTCTCCGAACTCCACTCCCAGATCCTCCCCGCCCTGGAACGCCGACCTTTCCCCCGCACTTCGCCGCCCACTCACATCCCCCGGCGACTGCCCGGCCTCCATGCCCGCCAAGACAAGAAGATGCCCCTCTCCGATGCGCCGAGAGGGTTCCTAAGCCGAGCAAGGGACAATTTCTTCCCCAAACGCTGTCCCCATCCCCCACCTTCCCTAGAGCGCGAAACCCAAAAGTAAGGAAGGCAACCCCTCGCCTCGACCCTACGTGCTTGTCTCCCAGAGCCGCGCGCTCCCGCCCTTCTGCCCCACCCCACCACCACCACCACCACTTTGGTCTTCTCCAAGCTTCGGTCCCGGTCCCCCACCTCCCACCCCAGAGCGGCGTGGAGGAAAGCAGGAGCCCACTATTAAGTGCAGCGCGCCCCCTGCACACACGAAATCCGGCTGGCGTCTGCAGCCCGATTGCACCCAATACCCGGGACAGTTAGTCCTTTTAATAAGCACCTCCTCGCCCCACCTACTCGGGGATCTACCCGCGCAGGATCCAGCACACACAAGGCGAGAGCTAGCTCGTCTCCTAGAAAGACAAAATAAATCACTCCCTCTGCCCTCATGTACTTTACACCACGTGTCCGCAGTTTGTCACGTCAAATCATGGCAGGGTCTGGTTCCAAGACGCACACACACATTCGGGGTGGTTCTCTTTGACACACACACCCAAAAAAACTGCGCACACGCAGGCCTGCACACTAATCCACAGGCACACACGACAGTTGCGTTTCGGTGCCCTGGTCCGGGCCAGGGGCACTTCTCCATCCCTTTCCCCCCTAGCAATGGACTTGACACACAGACTCTAACCACGGAAAAAAAAAACCGGACAGCCCATTCCTTCTTTTTTTCCCCACTTAATTCGCTAAAGCGCTTCCTGGGGTAGCCAAAGAGAGTCGAAACTAAGGGGTGGAAACTTCAGCTGGGTTTTTTCCCACCTCAAAACCTTTATTTTCAGTTTTTAAAAGCCACCTTAGCCCGCCATATTGAAACTGGCACGGTTTCTAAAGACTCCTTCCCCGCAGTTGTGGCGCTTCCAAGAAAACACGAGTACGGATCAGGCTCTGGATGAGTGTCCGGCCACCGAGAATCAGCCACTTCCCACCCTCCAGGATCCCCCAGCTCCCTCCAGCCCCTTCCCACCGCCCCTGGTCAAAATCAATAAATACATCTCGCAGTTCCTACAGTTGCATTTTGGCGGATTTCTGCAAAACATACACACACATACACATACCCACGCACGCATATTAAAAAATAAACTCCAGAACCAGCTCAAGTCAGCAATTTTGAAAGGGGGTCGAATAAGAGGAGACAACCGGAAAGCCCCTAAGTGACAGGATATTACTTTAAAGAGAAAATAATGAACAAAAAGACCATCCTCGCTGGAGCACGCTCCAAAACTACTACTGCCAATTTTATTTCAGTTGCTCAGGCAAATGTTTCCAAGGGAGCGATTCCGAATGTCTGCACGATTTTTACCCCCATGCCGGTCTCCGATTCCCCGTCCTCACCATCTTTTTCTCCCACCCAAACCAAAAGAAAGGGGAGACCCCAGCGCGGAGGAGACGCGGGAGCGCGGGGTAGGTAGCAGCGGCGGCTGCGTCGCTAAAATGAGTGCAGAAACGAGGAAGGTGGGCGGCGGGAGGGGACAGGCTGCGCCCGGGGAAGGAGGACACTTTGCAACTCCGGACGGACTCCCGCACGGCTCGGCTTTTCCGAGCCCGGAGACGCAGGCGAAGGGGACCCGGGAAGCAAAAATGACAACCTGGAGCGCACAGAGGAGTTTGAAGCTTCGCTCAAGTGCAGTCGCTTTCTTCTCCTGCCCTTCTCTTTCGCTCCCCTGCACCCTCCCCAGCCTTCCCCCACCCGCCACCTCCAACCCCAGCTCCCTCAGGCTTCCTTCCTTTTTTTTTTTTTCCTTTTTTTTCCTAGGCTGGAAAAAGCCCCTGACCAGCGCACTCAACCTGCGGGCCGAAGGGCTGCTCTCCGGCCAGCCTGGGCGCCGGGGACAGCAGCCGGCGCGGCGTCCTACCTGGTGAAGTTCGTCCTGCCCTCGGCGTGGACCCAGGCCCCGGTCGCCGCCCGGGAGGGCACCGGCCTCGCTCGCTTGCTCGCTCGCCCGCCCTTGCCCGCTCGCTCCCCGCCCGCCGCCTCCCTCGCGCGCCCGCTCCGGTCCTCCGGCTCCCACTACAGCTCATTCCAATATGGCATCCTCTCTGTGCGCATGCTCGGCGCTCTTTTTTTTTTTTTTTTTTTTTTTTTTTTAAGATTTTGTGTGTGTGTGTATGTGTGTGCGTGCGCGTGCAGCGAACTCCTTCAACGACCTTTTCCAGCGCTTGCAAAATTTCTTAAGCCAATTAGCCTGCGGGACGTGATCGGCTCCTTCCCCAGCCAGCTCCGCGCCATTCCCTGCGCCTAAGCAGGCGGGCACCCCCAGGACCCTGGGACCTTCCACGCCCACGCGGCCTCCTCCCCACCGCGCTCCCCTTCCTCCTTTTTGTGAGCTCCCTCCATACATGATCTGCAGAAAGTTCCCATCGCGGGCGTTTCCGCACACCCCTCCGCAAGGACAACTGGGCAAACTCCCGTTTCCCTGGCTGCGGTTCGTGAGCTGGGTTTCCAATGGCTCAGTCGACCGTGTGCACAAACTTGCGCTTTATCCGCCGGGGATCGCTGGGAGCGGAGATAAATTCAATCCCCAGGGCAATCTTGGCCCCGCCCGCCCCACCCCATCCTGTGCTTAAATAGAGCCTTTCTTGAAGCTGCGAACATTTCCAGGCCCCTTGGGCAGGGCTGGAGGGGCCGAGGAGAGCTATTCGAGGGAAAGGTGCCCCGAGGGGCAGGAAATTAAGTTGGGGCTGCCCGGGCGAGCTGCCAGGTAGCCGTGCTCGCCACGGCGTCTCATGGGGCACCTAGCTAGTGGCGGGCCTCATAGGGCGGGAAAAGAATCGTCGCTCACACCCCAGCAAAACGTGGCCCTCGACGGTCCGTTGGAGAGCCCCGGCGGCCGTGAGCCCCGGGCAGGGCTGGACGTCTGCGGAGCCCTCGGGCACTTTGTCCCGGGCGCCTGGGGAGGAACGCGGAGCTCCCAGGGCCTTAGGTGCAACGGCTGCGCAGAGCCCAAACGAAATGTCCCCAGTGCGGAAAAGCCGGTGACGCCCTGGTAGCAAGACCAAGAGCTTCCGAAGAACGCTGCGCCCTTAACTAGGGGGCCTCGCAGAGATGCCTGTGTGGGCCTGCATTGTATATTTCTGCGAAATAGCGAATGGACACGTTTGCTCAGGGTTTTTATGGTTGCCAAAGGGGGTAAAATTACCCAGTCCCCCAAATCTGTGTCCCATGAATCCCTCTCATAGTACCCCTCTCCAGGGGGCCAAGAGGTCCTCCAGGTCCCCGTGGGTTCGCAGCTCCACCCGCCCTTCCTCGCCCTGCATCCCTAAGGAGAGGTGTCCGCTCTGAAGGGCTAGGGGCCAGCCATGGAGTGAGGGGACCGGGGCTGACCACGCGCGGCACAGACAGAGGTCCTCAGGCGGGCCCTCTCCTGGACGGTGGGGCCGGAGCTGATCTAGAAGAAATACGGAGGGACGTGCCGAGAAGCCGCTCTCCTTCGCCGCGACCCTGGAGAGCGCCTCTCCACCCAAAGGATCTGCCGAGCTGAGAGATCCAGGGCGGGCGTCCGCAGCCGTGAGGCCCCCTGCGCCGCCAGTATGGGAAGATCCTGCCTCCTTACACCTTGGAGAACGCTGGGCGACGACTAAAGCGCCTTCCGCCGGCCTGTCACTCCATGTGACACAGGAGCCACGTGAGACCCAGAAGAGTCCAGCGACTCGCCGCGCGGCGCACTTTAAACTCTAGCCTGAGTCTGCGACCCCTCCAGCTCTCCAGTCCCCAGCTGTTGGGGACATCAAGCCGGAGCCCTGGGCTCTCTGCCCTGTGGGTCGCTGAAAGCAGAGACTCCTCAAACCAACCGAACCGGGCGCATTAACCCTCTCGCCTGCACCCCGCTGCCTCCCGGTTGAGCCCCGAGGCGGCTCCAGGTAGAACCTGCTGGACTGACTGCGGCGTCCAGAAATCTGGAGTGTGGGCTCCAGACACTCTCCACGGTTTGGCCCCGGGTCTCAACACCCAAGTCGCCTCTTCTGGCTCCTTCACCACACAGCGGGGCCTGTGGAAAGGGAGGGGCCGAGAGACCCGTCGGCGCACCACTGTCCTCGAGGGGTCCCCACCCTGTGCACTGCTGAAGCGCAGGGCGCGCCGCGGCAGGAATGGCCCCGAGTGCGGATCCCCTGCCCTGAGCCTCCCACTCTTGGCCCGCGCTGCGCCTACCCAGTGGCCCTGGCCCCGCAGGGCGACAGCGGCTGCTCCCTCCCATTTGCGTCCCAGACCGCGCGGCCTCGCTTAGCTCCCGGGAGCCGACAGGCGCTTGCCCTGGTGCCAGCGCAGGGCTTCCCGGGGGCTTGGGGTAGGGGTAGGGGTGCGGGGGGGAAGGGGAGAACGTAATTTCCTTCTGCAGGAGTCGTGGAGACGTGAGCTGCAACCAGCCACCGCGCTCTCTCCAGGCTTGTTTACCAGTTTTAGGTCATCATTGTGCACGAAACATTCTTTCATCCAAATAAAAGCAAATGCAGAAGAACACCTGATCCCAAACAGTGTATGACTGCGTTCATTATCTTACCTGGTTACTCCGAAGGAGTTGAATTTTTTTAATGTTTTGGGTACGTAGACCCCGTATAATTTTGCTCCTGGGTCCACAAAATGGTGATTTTGGGGGAGGGTTACCTATCGTGATTAAGAAATATAATCAGGAAGTCGCAGCACACAAAGGTGGCATTGTTATTGTAAAAAAAAACTCCTTCCCTCCTATTTTTGTGTTGCTTTTTGCACGTGACTTTTTGAAGATTCCTTGATTTTCTTTTCTGCAACCGACCTCCATTCTCTTTTATCCAAGGGCACCAATGAGGCAAATGAAAATTGGTTAGGAGATTCCCTGAGGCAATTCAAGTGGCCCCTTCATCCCACTTCAATACCTTTCCACTTTCATTTTTATTTCAGAACCAGACACTTTAGGGATATATACCCAGATGTAGGTTGCACCCTAAATCAATTAAAGGTAGGAAAAAATTCCACATAGTCAGCAAAGGATAACGCACTGACAAAAATTGTGACTGCTTTTTTAAAGTAAAGAAGGCTTATGCACTCCAGCTCAAACAGGGTCATGAAAATCTCATTATCAACACAAGATTTTTCTCTATACTGTTAATATTTACTAAAAATCTTGGCCAAAATAAGCCTTTGATCACACTAACTATAGATATTATTTCACTCCTAAACTTTGCTTAAGCCATGAATTTCATCACTCTACAGATCAAGTTATCCCTTCACAGGGACTTTGGAATTCTTTAACATAAATGGGGCTAATTGGTTAATTGTAAAATATTTAGATGCTATTCCATTTGTCTAATGATACAGCACAAATTAGAAATATAAAATAACAATTGAAAAGTTTTTGTCTCATTTTCCTTATATTCCTAAGCATTACATCACAAAAACTATTGCAGAGGAGTTGAAAAATTATATGTGTACTATTTATTCTCTTTATATTTAGGACATGTGATTACTTAAATCTTGTTGCATTAGTCGTACCCAAGAAAAATGTTCAATTTGTACATACCTAGTCCATGTTTAAGTTATCACTTCCCACTGGGAAAAGGAAATGAACCAAAGAAAATAGAAGATAAACCATTATGCTTTCTTAATATAGAGACTCCCTAATGAACCATTAGACATACTAGCCTAACAGGAAAGCAGAAGGAGGAGAAAAAGAGGCCAGAACCAAATATTTGAAGAATTTGTACAACCTTCTCTTTACTGGAGCCTTGAAACCAAAACTTGTTTTTTCTTAGGCTACATAAGATAGTATTTTTCCATCAGGATCCTAAGGTCACAAAGAGTAAATCTAAATACACTCTGTCTTTTATTTTTTCACCTTTTTTCCTTATCTTCTATCCCCAATTAAAGCACTTAATGGTTAATGTATTGGGAGTCCAGTGACCTCAGTCACTGCTTCATCGCTAATTATCTGTGTGACCTCTGTAAGTCCAGTGACCTCTCTGAGCCGTTCTTTCCTCTTGGGTAAAATGAGGGGATTGGACTAGGTGTTCTGTGAGGTCCTTTCAGACCTAAACAGTGCTAAGCAATCTACCCCACCTCAAAGCCATAAATTGCTTTATATGGTATTCTGCCAATTTGATATAGCAATCAAATTCTGAGGTCACAGAAGATAAAAAAGAATTAAGTAAAGGAATTTGTAGGGAAAGGGTATTAGGGCCTTCTTTGCCTCACTGCCCTTCAGTGAAGGTACCATTCAGGTCATATTTTTGCCTTCTTTTGATTATTATTGTGTTTTTGCATTTACTGTATGAGTTTTGTGTTGCCCATAAAAGTGTGGGGGCTCTGGTGAGTGTATCTATGACAGTCCTTCTGAGAAAAGCCTGGGGTTATTGAGATGGCTTGTGAAAATAACTAGAGTTCTCAGTGAGTGTAGTGATGTGTATTGGTTCAAAAAATATCACCACCTAAGAGAGCACCTTCTCATACATTTATAGAAATTTCAGAAACACACTATTGCGATTGACTCTTGTATAATTTGAAGGAATTTCAAGCTTCCTTGACAACAAGAGAAAAAAATAATAGGGTACAGGGCATATTTTTAAAAGTACATGAAGGCCGGGCGTGATGGCTCATACCTGTAATCTTAGCACTTTGGGAGGCCAAGGCAGGTGGATTGCCTGAGTTCAGGAGTTCGAGACCAGCCCAGGGAACACAGTGAAACCCCATCTCTACTAAAAATACAAAAAAAAAAAAAATTAGCCAGGTGTGGTGGCATGCTCCTGTAATCCCAGCTACTCGGGAGGCTGAGACAGGAGAATTGCTTGAACCCAGGAGGCAGAGGTTGCAGTGAGCCGAGATCGCGCCATTTTACTCCAGCCTGGGCCACAGAGCGAGACTCTGTCTCAAGAGAAAAAAAAAAAAAAAAAAAGGACATGAGGTCTGAACTCTCCTAGGACATTTATTGAAAGAGCCGACGTGGTTTGCTTGTGGATGTTCCAGTTTTGACTAATGGCTTCTTTCTCCACTGAGAAGAACATCATGACAAAATTCATTCCCAACTTCTGTGGCTGCTGGCTTGTACATCTGGATGCATGGTATCACGCCCTTCATTTGTGAATCTTACTGTGTATTAGGCATAATATTTTAGACTTTGTGGCCTCAGTTCCAGCCCTTTTGAGAGCTGCAGTCCAGAGAGATTAAATGACAGAGGCCTTTTAAAGGACAGAGTTACCGAGCAGGGACTGGCTCTCAGGCCCTTTTAAAGACAGCAAAAATGAGACAGAGGATTTATTTAGTATCTACTTTGCTCCAGACACTATTCCAGGTATTTTTTACATATATGATAACATTTCATAACTCCTAGTCTGTATTATGTGTAATATCCCTTTTAAATGGTTTGAAAATATGTTTTAAATGTATATTTCTTTACACATAAAGCTGAGTCCTCATCCACTGTCACTGTCATTGAAACACAGGTTGCATCTCGGTTTTTTCTTGTGGAACTTGAGTTGTCTGGAACCATTTACACTTTCTAATTTTACCCCTTTATGACTGAGGGTATCTATTGGCAAAAACACACACACCCCAACTGGGTGCAGTAGCTCACACCTGTAATCCCAGCCCTTTGGGAGATTGAGGCAGGAGGATCACTTGAGCCCAGGAGGTGGAGACCAGCCTGAACAACATATCCAGACCCTGTCTCTACAAAAAATAAAAATTAGCTGGGCATGGTGGCATGCACCTGTAGCCCCAACTCTTCGGGAGGCTGAGGCAAGAGGATTGCCTGAGCCCAGGCAGTAGAGACTGCAGTGAACTATGATCATGCCACTGCACTCCAGCCTGGGTGACAGAGCAAGATCATGCCTCAACAAACAACCATAAACACAGTGCAGGTCAGAGATGTGGGTCTGTGACCCTAGAGCAGTATTTCCTCTGTGAATGATAACTGGCCTGAATGAGGTTGAATTTGACACCATGTAAAAGCATCAAGAGTCCCATTGAATTTATACTGCAAAATAGACTAAACAAACTAAAACAAGCGACCAAAAATCCCACATGAAAAAGCACTTCCATGAATAAGCACAGTGGACAATTTGTTACATTCACCCACTACCTTAATAAGTGCCCGGCTATGGTATACAAGAGGAGAGATACCAGTATTAGGGAGCTGGACTATCTCAGCTTTCATGTAGCTTCAGCATCGCCATCCTATTTGTTTTCACTGTGTAAGCTGCTTTAGATGATCTTAGTACAGAATAAATCATTATTATCATGATCAAAGAAGTGATAGTTAGTAGATCTACAAAGACTTGATTTGCAGTGCCATCTACTGGAAACAGACATTGACTTGCTTTTAGATTTTTTAGATAGTTTTTTGTTGTTGTTTATTTTATTTTTTTAAATAAAGAACGTTGAAGAATACAGATATCAGTAGTAAGGGAAGAATTTGGTTCTTACTATATTTGATTATAGATGATGGCTTAGAAGCCCTAGCTACAAATAAGCTGAATTGTATTCTTATCAAATCATTCATCCTTTGAATGTTAGACATAAAGAGTACTTACATGTTTCTTTGAAAAGTAACATTGCTTCCTTTTCTTAAAATGAGTCACTTAAACCAGTTTTTAATATAGCACTATGGTTTTTTTCTTATCCCTTTAAAGATTGATTTTTTTTAACCCTTGTAAGTGCCTCTGAAATGGATATCGTTGCTGAATTCTTGAAGATTTTCATTTTAATTTCATACCTTGGGGATGGGGGAAACTCAAAAGATTTTTCAATCAATTTTTTGAAGAGAAACTTACATAAATTAGATATAGAGGAAGATTAATGAAAAATAAAAACCAATCTCTGCTTACATTTTTCTCATTCAACAAATATTTACTGAGGACCAGATGTGTGCCAGGCACTGTTGTAGGATCTGAAATACAGTGAACAAGACAGATGAAGCCCTGTTCCATGACACTTATAGTTCATCAAGGACAGATCAACACCAAAGAAATGAATATCTAATATGTCATGTGGATGTCAGTGCCATGGAAAAGAGTAAAAGCAGGGGGAGGTACAGGAAGTGACAATGACAAGTATGGTGTTGGGGGAGGATGACGTTTTTTATGAAAGTGGGTCAGGGAAGTGGCATTTGAACAGAGAGCTCCAGACAGCAGGAAAAGTAAGTACAAAGATCTTGATATTGTCTTGGCTCCATTGGAAAGAAAGAATAAATTATACAAAAGTTTGATGATATTTAACACCACAGGCATAAGCTATTAACTTGTAACTTCTAACTTAAGCAAGAAGTGCCAGTATTCCCAGATGGGAGAAAACACAGAGTGGTCAGTTCAAACACATACAGCAAATCCAAGCGTTCTCCAAGGGATCAAACCCAGTTTCCCTGAATTTAATTAGATTCTTAGGTTGAATGAGCCACAAAGGTCACCTGGTCTGCCATCTCTCTCATGCCCAACTCCCCTCTACATTATCTATATTAGTCTGTTTTCACACTGTTATAAAGACATACCCGAGACTGGGTAATTGATTTATAAAGGAAAGAGGCTTAATTGACTCACAGTTCCGCAGGGCTGGGGAGGCCTCAGGAAACTTACAATCACAGCCGAAGGGGAAGAGGCATGTCTTATATGGTGGCAATAGAGACAGAGCGAAAGAGAAAGAGAGAGCATGTGTGTGTGTGTGAAGCGAAGGAGGAGAGCCCCTCATAAAACCATCAGATCTGGTGAGATCTCACTATCACGAGAGCAGCATGGGAGAAACTGCTCCCATGATCCAATCACCTCCCACTGAGTCCCTCTCTCAATACATGGGGATTATGGGGATTGTAATTCAAGATGAGATTTGGGTGGGGACACAGCCAAACCTTATCATTATCCCTACAAATGACCATGCAGTCTGCTTGAACACCTCACTCTTCACTCCCTCCAGAGATAGCTCATTCCACCTTTGACTCCTCTTGGCAAATTCATCCTTACACTGAACTGAAGCCATTTCTCTGTTCTGTGGTGCTTGGGTGGCTTGCATGGCAATGGAGGAAGGCAAAAGTGTCACCCTCTTCCTATTCCTCACTAGACTGTGGCCTCTATGATCAGGAATCCCATGTAAACGTCCATGTAAAGCTGGCTCTGTAATGGACTTGAAATGAATCCATCCATCATCATTCATCACTCTGATCTCACCTACATAAAAACTCCTCAAGCACAGGATGGTTAGTGGAACTGTGTTTTCTCTATGTCTTTAAACCAATGGAAACAGAGCAGCTCACGCAACTGAAAGACCCCAATGTTTAAGTGCTCTTATTCACCTTTCATTCCTTTCTTGGTTTGCAGTTATGCCGAATCAGAAATCAATTCCTTAGGGATAGCACAAATGAAAAAATCTAGAAAATATACAAATGCATCTGAGCAAACAATAGAGTACACTTGCTAATGACACAATTCCTTAAGCTATGGAATTCATTACAACAGTTAACATTGATTGAGCACATACTCTGTGCCAAGCCCTCTTCCAAGAGCTTTATGTATCCTACCTCATTTAACCCCACAGCAAGCATGTTTAGTAGGCAGTGTCATTGTCCCCACTTTATAGACAAAGAAACTGAGGGAGGGGCTGAGAGTGATTAAGCCATCTGGTTGTGGATACCTGACTAGTAAGTGTTGGAGCCCAAACTTGAACTCAGCCAGTCTGACTCTAGAGCCTGGGCACGTTTTCCCTAAACTCCATTCCCACAGTTTATGATAGTAGAGATGCCAGAGACTAAAGATAATGTATGGGACGGAAGATTGAAGGAACATGGATCATTTAGCAACAGAAGAAAAGGCTAAAATGCAAAGGAGGGCCAGGGCAAGCTCATGAGCAATGCCAATGCTAATTTTTAAAAATGGGTTGAAAATAGAAGGAATTGTGACTGTGGCCTGAATGGAACTAAGTTTGAGAATAAAAAGTGATGAGGATATTTGGAATGGGATAATAGCAACAACAATACGACACTACATGCCAGGCTCTGTACCAAGTGCTGATGTTCATTTGTCTTAATTTAACCTCATTGAATCCCAGGAGATAGTTGCTGTCATCATACCCACTTTGCAGATGAGAAAACCACGAGCTGGAGGAGTTACGTAGCTGTTTGACATAACCAGCTAGAGAGTAGCAGAGCCATTATGTCAGTGGTCCAGTGAGCGAGCAAAGCTTTATCAGTATTTACGGCCACTCCTCATTGCTCCCATTACCGCCTCAGCTCCACCTCCTGTCAGATCAGTGACGGCACTGGATTCTCATAGGAGCATGAACCCTATTGCAGACTGTACGTGCCAAGGATCTTAGTTGCGTGCTCCTTATGGGAATCTAATGCCTGATGATCTGAGATGGAGCTGATGTGGTGATGCTAGCACTGGGAGCAGCTGCAAATACAGATGAACATTAGCAGAGAGGTCTGACTGCACAGAGACCATAATAAATCACTTGCAGACTCATATCAAAACCCTATGGGTGAGTGGCAAGTGACAATTAAGCTTCATCTGGTGGCAGGCTTTACAGGTGAGTTGATATACTTCAATCATACAGCTGCATCTGGTGGCCTTATAAGTATGTTTGAGACAACTTCAAATCTCCATACATTCTGGGTTAAAGTCAAAGGGGAATATCCTCAGATTGCCACAAAAGCACTGAAGAGCCTGCTTCCATCTACAACCCCCTATCTTTGGGAAGCAGGGTTTTCTGCAGTGACAGCCACCGAAATGAGATTATGGAGTAGGCTGGACATAAACAACACACTTTGGGTGTCACTGTCTCCCAGATGGGACCATCTAGTTGCAGGAAAACAAGCTTACGGCTCCCACTGATTCTACATCATGGTGAGTTGTATAATTATTTCATTATATATTACAATGTAATAGTAATAGAAATAAAGGGCACAATAAATGTAATGCACTTGAATCATCCCAAAACCATCCCCCACTGCCCATCCATGGAAAAATTGTCTTCCACGAAACCAGTCCCTGGTGCCAAAAAGGTCTAAGACCACTGCATCACGTTACATGGCACATATATGTTCTCATGTTCATGTTATTTAAGAGTCAAAATCATTCGTGTTGATTGAAGTTTGAGCTACCCTAAGGCATTACTAAAAGCCAGTGGTTATTATCTTTTTACAAAATTCACCAGAGGCCTTTGGAAACCCCCATGGTTCTGCTGGATGCACATGTGCACCATGAGGCCGCATGTTAGAGTGGAGAGAGCCTGTACATGGAAGACAGATGATCTTGGACTTAGATCCCAGCTTTGCCATTATTAGTTTTGCTTCTTCCCTCTCTCTCTCTCTTTTTCCCTGTCTCTTCCTCTTCCTTACCCTCTTCAGTTTCCTCTGTTTAAAAAAAAAGGACTAAGAAAACTTACCCCTACCCTACCCACCAAAATATTATAAAGACTAAATTTCTCTTTCAGAGAGGGAGGCTGGCACTTAACAGAGGCTTCAGAAGTATGACCTCCTCCATCTCCCCATCTACTCATCTGCCACCTGTTCAAAATACACATCGTTCGTAGCATTTTAGTATAAGCTTATAGTACTCTTCAATATGCGGCCAATAATTCTATATTGATTATAAATCAGATCATATCCCAGATTTGTTTTCTACATTTCCATGGACTTGCACCCTCTGTAATTGCTCTTTCAGCCTTCCCTTCTGGCTTTTTCTATTTTCTTTGTTTTATTAGTCAATAGTTACATCTTCCTGACAATGCAAATAAAATATTCCAAACAAGAATGTAGCTAGCAGCTGATTCATAAGATATTAAAAGGCCTTGAGTCATATTGTACTCATTGAAAACAAAGCCTTCACATATACCAATGCTTTATTACTTTCATGAAACTTAATCTTTGTCAAACCCTGAAAGGATAGCTAATTTTACTGACCAATTTGAAAAGCAGACAATGGGAGTGAGAGCATATTCCTAAACAAATTGTTATAAATTTACACGAAGCCAGGCATGGTGGCTTGCATCTGTAATCCCAGCTACCTGGGAGGCTGAGGCAGGAGGATCACTTGAGCCTCAGAGTTCGAGGCTTCAGTGAGCTGTGATTGTGCCACTGCACTAGGCCTGGGTGACACAGCAAGACCTCCATCTCTTAAAAAGAAATTCCTATGAAATGAGTAGTTATAGAATAATACTGCAGACCAGAGTAGTGAACAAAAGAATAAAGAATGAAGAGACCTGGATTCAAATCCCATGGTGCCCCTAAATAGATTATTTGCAAGTCAATGAATTTATCTGAACCTCAGATTGGCCATCTGTGAAATGGACATAATTATCTCTTACTGGCTGGGCATGGTGGCTCACACCTGTAATCCCAACACTTTGGGAGGCCGAAGCAGGCAGATCACTAGGTCAGGAGTTCAAGACCAGCCTGGCCAGCATAATAAGACCCCGTCTCTACTAAAAGTACAAAAATTACCCAGGCATGGTGGCTTGCACCTGTGATCCCAGCTACTCAGGAGGCTGAGGCAGGAGAATTGCATGAACCCGGGAGACGGAGGTTGCAGCGAGCCGAGATCACGCCACTATACTCCAGCCTGGGCGACAGAGTGAGACTCCATCTTAAAAAAAGAAAAGAAAAGAAATAACCTCTTACTTTATGGGATTGAGAGGAATTAGAAGGTTGCAATATGCCCAGTGACCAGAGCAGAGCATTGAGTTGGGTGCTAAAAAACATTTTTTTACACTCCCTTTAATAATAAAATAAGTTTCCAATTCTAGCCCATAGGAACAGGCTAACCTGGAATTCAGAAATGGAAGAGACTAGCAAAAGTCTCAAGACTCAAATTGAATCTTGATTCATGTGAATTTGGACAAACAACTTAATCTATTTTTGTCAAAGATAGTCCTCAGGAAAAGTGACACTGATAATGATGGTTACCTTGGTGCCTTCCTACCTGGGGCATGTTGTAAGACAATGCTATCATCGGGGTCATTGCGACTTATTACTGCTTTATTCCAATCATCGTGCTAGACACCATTTGCTTTTGTATGTGTTCTCTTGTTTCCAACTGCTTTGAGCTCTTAGGAAGTACAGAGCTACAGAACTTTAAGGTATGGCTGGCATTTCTCCTGAGTCTTTTGTTGGCATGCCTTTAGCATCTAAAGAAAAGGAGGAGAAGGAGAAGAAGCAGAAGAAAAGGAGGAGGGGGAGCAGGAGGATGAAGAAAGGAAAATTTGGAAAGCCAGGAAATTATTTGAGACAGAAATATCTCCATCTCTTTTTCTCTTGCCTCTAAATAGTATAAACCATGTTGAATGAGCCAATATTTTCCAGTTTAAAAAAATACCAGGTGTTTTTTTCTTCATTCCTTTTGCCAACTAAGAAAAAATGTTTAGCAATTTTTTAGTAGTGAAAAAATACATGTCTGAAAATTAGAACCTGAGTCTGATAGACCATAGTCATTGGTACATAGAATGAGCTCCACGAATGTTTGCAGAATTAGATCCTGGCTTTGGCATTGACCTGAAGGTAAACTACGTGGTGATACGTCTCCTTCTCTCCCTTTCTGTAAATGAGAGTGATAGTATCATGTGCACATTTCTGGAAAGATGGTATGAAAGTCATTACAGTTCCATTACGTTCTGAGCTTCTTGGACCAAAAGGGACAATGAAGATTTTGTTTTTTGAAAGCAAAGGTTGTTTATGCAGCTTCCGAGTGACTGACGTGCTCCACATATCCATTGTTTGCACTCCTGGGTTTATTTACTTTGAGTTTTGTCATTCTGGGACAGGAGGAGACATCCTGCTGGGGGGAAGCTGCAGGGGTGAGCTGCAGATGCTTTGAATAAGAAGGCTATTTTCATCGACTTAATTTTAGTGACATAAGAATCCGGGGGATGCTGGGGCTTGCCTGGAGACTCTCAAACTGGAGAACCCTGGGGGTAGAAGGAAAGATCTCAAAGTCGTTCTCATGGCCAACTCTGCAGCTTTGCCAGCTTCAACGAGCCATCCCAATGTGAACTGTGCTCAATATTCTTAATATTGCTGAATTGAGGGGGTAAACCCCAATACGGTCAGTGGCCCACTCCATCCCAGTTTTCTGCTCTGGTATTTCTTCACAGTATGTTATACCATATTCTTTTATTATCAGTCACTAAAGACAACTATCTTTTCTTTTTTTTATTGACCAATATATTTATAAACTGCCACACCAGTGACAACTATACTTTAGTAATAATTTCTGACAATTCTACTGCATTCTAGTCTTGTTTCGGTAAACAGATGGTGGTGCCCTATTCAACAGATGCTGCTGAGTGCTTTGGGCTCCACCTCCAAACACGCACTGAATTTTTGAGTTTTTACCTTTTGAGCACTGCTCCGCTCTAAACCAAGTCACCAAGCACCCCCAGACTCGGATGAGCTCATGGCAGGCACATCCTCACTGGGCTCCCTGAGTCTACTCTCACATCCTACCCTTGGTTCACGACACAGAGGCAAGAGGGTGAGCTCTCAAAAAGTGAGTCAGATCACACTAGTCCTGGCTCAAGACGCTGCAGTGGTTTCCCACCCGACGGGAGGTGGAGCTGAAGTCCTCGGCACGGCCTGTTTGCTTCTGCTACCCGCTTCCCCTCCAGCTGCTTTGTCTAGTAAACTTGCGCCCTGGCGCTGCTGGGGCGACTCCAGTCGAGGTCTAATGCTGTTCCTTGCACAGGCAGACTGTGCTCCTTTCTCAGAACCCTTGCATCTACTGCCTTCTGTCCCTGGGATACTCTTGCTCAAGATGCTGGCTTGCTTGTTCCTCTATCCCCTTCAGGTTTCAGCTTCTCCGATCACCCTATATTTGCAAACACTTCATCCCCCAGGGCCCTATACCCTGCTCTATTTTTCTGACTGATACTTATCATCACCAGTATCACGTTGCTTTTTCCTTATGAGTTCTGTCTCTCCCACTACAATAGTACCGTGAGAGTAGGGACTCTATCTTATTTCTAGCTGTATCCCCAACCCATAGAACATGATCTGGCTCACAGTAGATACTTAGTAAATATTTGTTGAATAAAAGAGGAAAGAAGTATCACAAACACAAAGCCTATCTCTGAATAAGGCTGACATGAATGTTTTGCATTAATGATAGATTTCATATAATCTGCATTTGTACACAAAGCAGGAACATATTCAAGTGCAACACGCCTTCAGAACACTTGAGTGAGAGGCGAGGGTGTGCATTGTGGTTTAGGAAGGCTCTTGTACATAAGCATGGGAGAAACGGAGAGATGTCTTGCAGTGAAACACTTTGCCTTATGAAAAAACAACCTCATTTGTTTGATCCTTGCCATGGTTCCAAAAAGGATTTGAGGCCAGAGTTGCAAATTGTCTTCCTTTTTCCCTTGACTTTCTATGCTTCCAAAAAAAGAAAAAAAAAGTGTTTTGAAGGACTTTTTGCTCTCAAATTTTTTAAAAATAGATTTCCAAGTAGATTGCAGGCATGATCCAAGCCTTGCCTCATTAGTTACCTTAATAGTCCTCTGATTATAATCCCACATTTATAAACCCGCACTTGTAGAGAGTGGATCCTTTAAAAACCCAGTGAATTCCATTAGGACTGACACATGCAGGAACCTCCAGGAGTTAAGGGTCACTGCTGGATGTCAGCTCAAACCTTCCCAGTAACTCTGCTCTATTGGAAGACCAGAGCTCAGCAGCAGGAGACACTCAACTTTCACTTGTTGCCCCGTTCAGTAAAAGCAAGATCCTAAATGAAAAACTGACCAACGTAAATAGCAAGAAACCAGCTTCCCATCCAACTCAGATGTAAGTAGCTTGATCTACATCTCAAGATGGTTGAAATGTAAGCCATGTTCCTACTCTTATTTTATAGGTCATTGTAAGTAGAGAGAAACAGGAGCATTGACTACACTAAAGATGACTACTACATAGATTAGTAAAATGTGATCATGTAAATTCTGCTAGTTAATGTCTAGTCTTTAGTAATTCTCCATGATCGCGTACAGTAATTCTACACAATTGGGTTTACATGGTGTCATGCAGGTAATGCTGAACCACAATTTAGGTTTGCATTCGCTTCCTGTTCAGCCTTTCATCGGCTCTATAAGCTTGAATGAAGGATTGAACCTCTTGCACTCCAAATTTCTTTGTATTAAAAAAGAGACAGAAAAAAACTAAAGTTGCCATTAGGCCTTATAAATCTAATAATTTCTATTTCACTCTCCTACTTAGATGCTAAGTGTCATCCAGGCTCAGAGATCTACAGAGCTATTCTGATCCCCTTCCAATTCTACCTACCCCCTTGCCATTAAGGAAAACATTAACTATGACATCAACATTAGCAGCGCATGAGTCCATTCTCAGAAATAACTCAAAGCTTCAAGAGTGGAGTAAGGGATTTCCTTCCAGAAAGCAGAGACACAAAAATGAAATTCAACCGGGAGCATCAACCATAGTTTATCTCCAAGACCCAATCTCATCCCTTCCACCATGTTCCTACCTGGCAATCTATAGATGATGCTGGAGGTAAACAACCCTCATCCCTTCCAGCCACGGGAGACAAGAGATATTATCCCTTTAGTTCCTACATATAAACCACAATGCACCTCTGTTCCATGGAGGGACACCTGGGGAGAAATGACTCATTTCTTTAGTCATTCTATGCCTTTTTTAAATTTCAACTTTGTAAGCATATCCGTTGCCCAGATATTGAACTTCTGTAAGTATTGTCTAAGAAAATAACAAGACAATTACATAAATATGCACGAATAAGGGTTTTCATCACAGAACTGTTGAAAATACTCACCTAGACAGGGTTGATTAAATCAACTAAAGTACCTGCACACAATAGGACATAATATGGGCATCATTACGAATGATGTTGTAGATATGTATTTTTTTGACCTGAAAAGCATTTTTAAAACATTTTGTATACCATGATCTTGTCTTTGTAAAAAAATGCATTTATATATGCCTGGAATCACAGATGTGAAAACGCTAAGTACGTGGTAGTAGTATAAGTAATATTACTTTCTACTTTATAATTTTCATACCATGTGTCACATAACAAACATACCTCTGTTAATTAAAAAAATATTTATTTTTAGTAGACAATACCTGCATATGGTACAAAATTGGAAGCATACAAAAGAGTAAACAATAATAATTAAGGCTCCCTTTTCCTGTAGTGCCTTCCAGAAGGTAATCACTGTTACTTCTGTCTTCCCTAATCTTCCTGAGATAGTTTATGCTTATCCGTATATTGCTTTTATAATCAGAAAAACAATAATAGTAGTTCCATTTTGAAAAAATAATTTCTGCAAGATTAAAATTAAGTCTTTAGGTGTTAAATAAAATGGAAGGACTGAAACAATAATACGACGACTTGGATTTTCTTTTTTGTTTTGCGATAGAGCAGTGGGCAGGAAATACCAAATGTGTTACTTAACTCCTTAGTAGGTAATAGCCCTTCTTTATTATTATTATATTACATATATTTAAGTACATGTTTTTCTTCCCCATAAGACTACAATTTTCTTTTTAAGAGACAGGGTCTCACTCTGTTGCCTAGGCTGGTCTTAAATTCCTGGGTTCAAGCAACCCTCCTGCCTCAGCTGCCCTAGTAGCTGGAATTACATGGCCTGAACTGTACTTTTTTTTTTTTTTTTTTTGTGAGACAGGGTCTCACTCTGTTGCCCAGGCTGGAGTGCAGTGGTGCCATCTTGCTCACTGCAACCTCCACCTCCCGGGTTCAAGCGATTCTCCTGCCTGGCTTCTAGCTTCTCGAGTAGCTCACAGGCGTGAGCCACCACCCCCTGCTAATTTTTTGTATTTTTAGCAGAGACGGGGTTTCATCATGTTGGCCAGGTTGGTCTCAAACTCCTGACCTCAGGTGATCTGCCTGCCTTGGCCTCCCAAAGTGCTGCTGGGATTACAGGCATGAGCCACGGCGCCTAGCAGACTGCACTTTTTTTTTTTTTTTTTTTTTTTTTTTTTTTTTTTTTTTTTTTTTTTGAGTCACAGTCTGGCTTTGTTGCCCAGGCTAGAGGGCAGTGATGTGATCTCTGCTCACTGCAACCTCCACCTCCTGGGTTTGAGCAATCCTCCTGCCTCAACCTCCCCAGTAGCTGGGATTACAGGCATGCACTACCACACCCAGCTAATTTTTGTACTTTTAGTGGAGACAGGGTTTCACCATGTTGGCTAGGCTGGTCTCGAACTCTTGACCTCAACTGATCCACCTGCCTGGGCCTCCCAAAGTGCTAGAATTACAGGTGTGAGCCACCGCACCCGGCCAGACTGCACATTTTTTGAGGTGCAACACAATTTTATGTCCTCCATACTGCCTACATATAATACAATAGTTATAAGATTTTAATTTCTAATATTTACAATTTATCAAGATTTAAGTAACTGTTAAATAATAATTTGTACACAGCAAGCAGGAAATATATACTTGCTGCATGGAAAAGTAAGTGATATGGTCTGAAACAAGATTTAATAGTTGGATCTTGAATCGCAACGTTAGCCGATGCCTGTATCGCACTCACTGTGCGCTAAGTATACTTCTCAGTACTTGACGGGAATTAACCCACTTAATCTTCTTAACAGTCCTGTGAAAAATGTTCCTATTTCACAGATAAGGAAACCAAGGCACAGAGAGAATAAGCATTAGGTTGGTGCAAAAGTAGTTGCAGTTTTTGCCTTTTTTTTTTTCTTTTTTGCAAAAACTGCAATTCCTTTTGCACCACCCTAGTAATTTGCCCAAGATCATCCCATGGGGGAGAGAACTAAGCTGGGTCCCAGGTCCAGGCAGCCTAGCCCTATGTTAGTAACCCAGTACCTTTCAACTAGGCATCTGAAAGTGTTTTATGGCGTATAGATAAAAATAGACCCACTGCTTTAATAAGGCACATGGCTATCGTTGTGCCTAAGAGAATGGTCTTGCATCACCAGTGGAACTGAGAGCTCTGAATCTCAGCCCTGCTATGGCCACACTCTTTCACCTGAAAACTTTCAAAAGCTGCCTCACTGGCAGGCGACAACTACAGTCCAAGTGACAGAAAGGAAACACAGTGAATATTTTTCATTTCATGACTGTTAATCAAGTACTCAAAGAACATGGAAAGGTATCACAGGGAATGTGGCTGGAGCGTGAGGCAATTGGATAAATGCCTTGGTCTGTGGCCTGCAACTTGGGTGAGTTGAATGTATTATTTTCCAAGCTTGTGGCTTTCATGAAAAATGGACTGTGTCCAGCATCTGATAGAGATGCCAAACACACACTATAAACAATTAAAAGCAAAACCTAAGGCGGGCCTTTGCAGGGTGATAAGAGAAGGCAAGATGAGAAGTAGTGAGCTAAACTCCATGAACAATTCAAACAACATGATGACAAAAACAAGAATCCCTGTGTCATCTAAAGAAACATAGAGATGAAAGGAAACTTGTGAATTCCCATTATGACCCAAAATGTGGCCCTCAGACTGGCATCATTAGCATAACTTTGGAGCTGGGTGGAAATGCAGACTCTTGCACCCCACCCCAGAGACCCCCTGAATTCAAGCCCACATTTTAGCGAGATCCCCAGATGGTTCAAATGCACCTGAAAGTTTGAGAAACACTGATCTATTTTAATCTCCTTGCTTTAACGATGATGAAAACACTGAGTGCAGTAAAGGAGCTAAGCTCACATGGCAAATTCTGTTGTTTTTTTTTTTTTTTTTTTTGAGACGGAGTCTTGCTCTGTCATCCAGGCTGGAGTGCTGTGGTGCCATCTCGGCTCACTGCAACCTCTGCCTCTCAGGTACAAGCGATTGCCCCGCCTCAGCCTTCCGAGTAGGTGGGACTACAGGCGCAGGCCACCATGCCCTGCTAATTTTTGTATCGTTAGTAGAGATGGGGTTTTGCCATGTTGGTCAGGCTGGTCTCGAACTCCTGACCTCAGGTGATCCACCTGCCTCAGCCTCCCAAAGTGCTGGGATTACAGGCGTGAGCCACCACGGCCACATGGCGAATTCTTGATACAGACAAGACTAAAATCCAAATGGGAAACTAGGATGGGACAAATACAAAATTGTTTTACATGTTGTTTTACACTGATCGTTGTGTGTGTTAGTAATGTGCGTGGCTGTAAGTGGGGATTACAATGATACGGAAATGGGGAATAACTTCAGTTTCTGCATAACCAACTGAAGTCCATAATTAATTAATGTCCAGCCATGCTTATCCCCACAGACCCTCACTATTTCTTGGGAAAATGTATTCCCTTAGTAAGGGTAATTTTCCTAATATCAACTTTTTTCCTCCAATTCTCCAGTGCAACTGCAGGAAAAAAAAAATTTTTAGGCTGTCTTCTCCATGTTATGATAATTACTGCCGTATTGAAAATGTAATTCTCTTCTAAAAAGATGAATGTTAAATGGACCAGCTTCGCTCTACATTATGATTATCCATCATTTCAATTTCTCAATTGATGTTCCAAACAGTTGCAAATCAGCCAGGTATTTATTAGAAGAATTCTTTTTTTCCTTTTGGAAGCAGCAGCATGCATATTTCCATCCATGGGAGAGAAGGTAATTGGAGAGTTTTTAAACAGGGTTTGTCTCACTTCTAATGCCTTGGGAGGGGTTAATGATTAATTTATATTTAAAAGCAAATTGAGAAATGGACATAGCGGCCGAGCACGGTGGCTCACGCCTGTAATCCCAGCACTTTGGGAGGCCGAGGCGGGTGGATCACGAGGTCAGGAGATCGAGACCATCCTGCCTAACACGGTGAAACCCCGTCTCTACTAAAAACACAAAAAAATTAGCCGGGCGCGGTGGCCGGCGCCTGTAGTCCCAGCTACTCAGGAGGCTGAGGCAGGAGAATGGCGTGAACCCGGGAGGCGGAGCTTGCAGTGAGCCGAGATCGCGCCACTGCAGTCCAGCCTGGGCGACAGAGCGAGACTCCGTCTCAAAAAAAAAAAAAAAAGAAAAGAAAAGAAAAGAAAAATGGACATAGCTCCCTGTATGCTTAGAGAGCACAATTGTATACAATACTCAGCCTGAAAAATGTGATATTTGTTACCTTGTATCAAGGTTGAATTTTTAGTAATGGTGGTTGAGATCCAACTCTGGTAACCTGAATTCTTATCCGGATTGCATAAGAGAATCTTGTTGGATTTGCCCGTATCATGTAACAGTATGTATGGGTCTCTCTCTTTCAACGCATTCCTCTCTGTGCAGTGTTTTTTGAGCTCTTAGTGTGTACCCAGCACTGCCACTCACATTGCCGCCCCGACTACACATTCAGTGTTTATCTCTTGAAGTGGCCGTGAGTTTCAAGTTTCTAAAATCAGTGATCCTCATCCAGGATTTATTCAAAAGAATATTTTTTCTTGCTCGAGTGACTTATTATTTGAGAATTTCTAATTTCCTATAACTAGAAAATGATCAGCATTACTGGAAAAAAGTGGAAAGCCTGAGGCATTTCCTGGACCACACGGATCCACTCAAACACGAGCCTCCCAAGTGGGTCGCTGTGCAAGTCTACGTAAGAGGATCTGTTGACGCCATCTGGGGAAGGAGCCATAGAGCTGGAATTCGCACCCAGGAGCAGAGCTCTCGGGGTCCTCTTCAGAAAGAACCTTTTGGCTTCTGTTATTTCTCAACAACATGAAACATTATACTGCCCAATACTCGATGAAAGTGTGATGCTTTCTGCATAGAGTGGGTTGTATATTTATGAAACACCAAGTCATCTTGTGAGCAAGAGTGGTTCCCACACACTAAGTAAAGTGAAAAGATAGAACTTCTATCTATTACCAAAGAGGGACAGAGTGATGGAGAGAGGAATTCGACGTACCTTCCTCAATTGTCTGGCCATTCGAATCTGTAAGGAAGGATGGGAAAAGGTGTCTGAGTCAATAATTAAGTACCAATTATGGCACATAGAAGAGGCATTAGAGGCCCAAAGAAAACAGAAGCCATGAAAAGGTTTGGGGAGATGGCTAGAGGCTTTACATTTTATGCTTTAAATTTATTTTTATTTATTTTTTATAGAGACAGGGTCTTGTTCTGTCTCCCAGGCTAGTGTGCAGTGACACAATCATGGCTCACTGCAGCCTCAACCTCCCAGGCTCAAGGGATCCTCCCGCCTCAGCCTCCTAAGTAGCTGGGACCACGGGCATTCGCCCCCACACCTGGCTATTTTGTATTTTTTTGTTGTTGAGACAGTGTTTCACCATGTTGTCCAGGCTGGTCTTGAACTTCTGAGCTCAAGCGATCCGCATGCCTGGATCGCTCCCAAAGTGCTGGAATTACAGGTGTGAGCCACCGCACCTGGCTAGCCTCACGTTTTAGATTTCGATTTACTGATATTTTATTCACTCTTCTGGATCACATTTGATTTAGAGTTTTACAGTAGAAGTCCCCCAGGAGTCTTGCTGATGACATGGGACCCAAATCCCCGAAGGCTTCATCGAATTCCCTTTTAATCTTTCTTCCATCACTGTATTATAGCCTGTCTGGTGATATATGTCTTTCTGAAGATAATTATCTCCCTCTGGCATGTTTTTTGTATTCTTCAATAACTTCCACAGTGTTTGAAATCTTCAATCATTTCTCTTTTATCTCATACAGCATAACGCATAACATTTTCCCTCATGAAGAGTTCTTGCATAAGGAGATCGTAAAGTTCTTTGCATATGTTAATTATTTCTTTCACCAGGAAATTCTTCTCCCTATTTTGCATCCTTGGGAAACTGAGGCAAAAAGCTAACTGACATATCGAAGTCACATTAAAAAAAATGGGACCAGAGGTTGAAATATTATCCAGAAGATAAAGTCCTCAGTGCTCTCTTCAGAAAGAAATTGTATTCTAAATGCGAGCTAAATAATGATGATCAAGAAATTAAATCAAGGAGTTGAGAGACCTCTGTAGTTTCAGTTCGCTGATCTACAAATCTGAAGAACGACTTACTCTTAAGGAAGATGTGGCCCCTACGATTTATAGTGAAACTCATATTGCCAAGATTTATTACCATGCACACATCCTCACACAGCAGGATTTTTAGTATCCTACTACGAAGTGTTATTTGAAATCATTAAAACTAAACGGCACCTGTCAAAATCAATCAACCGATACATTTACTGATTCAGAATCTCTGGCTTTTCATCTTTTCCCTATATTCATTAATTCTTAATACTCTTTCCCATCATTAGCGTTTCATTTCCAAGTACTCCTGTCCTATAAAAATAGTGCATTAAAATGAAATTGGGTATTTAATGTCCGATTCTGTCTTTGATTCATCTGGGTTGAGCTTTTGTCCACACAGTGTCGCTTCCAGGGCTGTTCTATGGTTTTCCCTCCTATAAAATGTTTTTACAGCTTTATGCTGTAAAAGTCAATCCAGCTGACGTATCTTGTATGTAGGTCTGTTTGATTTAACATGCTTCTGTTTAACAATGGAGTTTCCTGACGCTGTCAAAATAAGTAAGGTATTAAATGCCTTTTTCGAAATGACTGTTTTTAAAAGAGAGATTAAGTAAACAAGCCATTCCTGCTGGTAAAATAATTGATTATGTTGCTGACTATTTAATATTATGTTTAGCCAGAACTCCCTAGGGACAGTTTATTACATTAGCATAAACAAAGAGAGAGCAGCCGTGCTCCACGAGGGAAGCACATGAGAAGCCGCTGCAGATATTTGCATTTGAAAAGAAGAGAACAAACGCCTTCCTTGTTGAAGTGACCAGCAGATCCCGTGAAAACGTGCACACAGATAGGCATGTTGCAGACGTATCCACGCCATATTAAAAAACAGACCTAAGTGTTTTATAAATAACTCCTACAGTTCTCTAACGAGGTATGCAATTAAGAAAACGGTTTGGTTAATAAAGTTTGAAATCCTGAAGGCAGGTAGGAATCTGGCTGTTTTTAATCTTCATTTTTCTTCGTAACAGTCCGGTTTTGTTTCCACATTCTGGTTACACTCGGGAAAATCTATTAACCTATTTTCAACAGACTCCTTTGGTAAGGTATCATAAAGAGAAATTGATTCACTCTCCAAGTCTCCCTTGCTGAGTTAGGCATAAAATATATTATTAAAAGATACTGGGCTAGCCAGGACATGAGATTATATCTGCATGCCGCTGTGTGAGCATGTGTTTTCTTTTCTTTTTTTTCCTTTTTTTTTTTTTTTTTTTTTTTGAGACTGAGTCTCACTCTGTTGCCCAGGCTGGAGCTCACTGCAACCTCCATCTCCCAGGGTTCAAGCGATTCTTCTACCTCAGCCTCCCGGGTAGCTGGGATTACAGGCACCCGCCACCA